>NC_000006.12:115979880-116282911 GCF_000001405.40 Homo sapiens | reverse complement strand
GCACGTGAGCCTTGGTGCATGTTGACATTCCTAGAGAGTTCCTCCTTCCAAGCAAAGATTCTTTCTTTAAAAAAAAATAGGACATAAAGTATGCATATTTGCTTTTCCCTCTAAAATCCTTGCCCTTTACTGACCCTTCTCCTGAGCACTTGTCCGAAAGCAATCATAACCTGAGCTTTCCATCACCTACAAGGAATAGTTATAATCACAATCACTTCTCTAATGTAATTTTCTTCTAATACACAGAGAACATGAGATACATTACTTCTAATTTTAAATCACGTTCTCTATATATTCAAATATTCCTTATCACAGCTTTATACATGTTCGACAAGAAGAGAAGGAAGAGTTCCTTTAAAGAGTCTCAACGTTATTTGGGGGAAATTACATTCAGCAGAGTCCTGATTATACTTACATGATCCTAATTAGAGTTTTCCTAGCATTACTGGTAAGAGTGTTAATTACATTAATTACATAATGGCTTCTTTGACAAATAAAGCCATATATTCTAAGATTGGTCCAAGCCTGACACTCCTTTCTGCTTAAAAAAAAATAGGAGACATATTGGAATAATAGAAGTTTCCACTTTAGGCCGAATGAAATTATACCAGTTCAAAATAGAAGATGATTTCATGGCAATTAGAAACAGTCTTTGTGGAAAGTTCCAATATTCCTTTTTATTTACACCAAAAGTAATTCCAGCCATGCATCACAGGCTCCATCACTTGTAGAGAGAAATGCATTATATATTTCTGTAGACAGAAACGAAGTAAAGCCTGAAATGATTACCTTGACTTTTTCAGAAAGGAGAGAATTGGAAATACAGTGCTGGTAGTCCGAGGCTTTGATATGTAAACTCACCTAAATATGCTGGTCTTTTCAGAGTTCGTTTGTCATACAGTGTGACCACACAAACTTAAATTATTTGTAAAATAAAATTGTTTTCTCTGTGTTTTTCCTATCCTTTTAGAGCCTTTGAAACATATATAGAAATTCATTCTCCTGAGTAGGAAACTGTTACTATATAGAATAGAGCAGCCCTCTGGTTTGCCAGTGGCAGATAGGAAGGAGAGCAGAGTGACAACCCATATGCCCCTTACTTCTCTTCCGCAAGGAGCAAGTTGCAAGCAAGAGAAACTGTTTTCTGCTCATTTGCTCCTTTATTTAACATTTTAATAATCTATGGGATACTGTGTAAGGTAGTGTGCTAGGCACTCGATAAACAGAGGGAAACGAAACCATGATCATGTCCTCTTGCAGTTTACAGTCTCCTCAGATATCGTTTGTGGTATGTTTAGGCTTTAATTTTGTCTTTCTGTGCATTTGCCTAAGTATATTTCTGGTCTTGATATTGAAAGACAGATTCAAGCTGTAATACATCACAGCTGTTGGGCAGGAACTCACGGGAAGCCATGAGCAAGGTAGAAGGGGCTGCTATTAGAAACAACTTGAGGCACCCATAGATGCAACCAAACCTTAATCCAAGGTGTATTCATTTCATATTGCTTCTGTAACAAATTACCACAAATTTAATAGCTTAAAATGCACAAATTTATTTTCTTATAGTGCTGGAGTTTAGAGGTAATAACCTCAAGGTGTTGTCATTCCTTTGGAGGCTCTAGGATTGAATCTATTTCCTTACCTTTCAAGCTTCTAGAGGCTGCCTTTATTCCTACGATCCTGGCTCCTTCCTCCATCTTCAAAGCCAGCAACATAGCGATTTCCCTTTCCTCCCTCCCACACCTATTCTCCACCATTCCTTCCCTCTCTCTGTGCTTTCGTCCTCTTATCTTCTCTGACTGACCCTCCTGCCTCCTTCTTATAAGAAATTTGTAATTCCATAGGGCCCACCTGTATAATCCAGAATCATCTTCTCATCTCCAAATCTTTAACTTAATCATATCTGCGAAGTCCCTTTGGCCGCATAACTAAGACAGGTACATCTTTGAGGGCCATCAGGCTACTACCACACAAAGCAAATTAAGTAGAAAATAACGTTTGCCTCTTTTATACCTTGAGTCCACCAGCTGCATGTTGCCCTTTGCAAGTTTGTTTTCTACTTCAAGGCCATCTTAGTTGTCCATTTTAACTAGCCTTTCCTCACAAAATGGTGGTATGTGGCTCCCCCCACTGATATTTCTCTGAGGCCTTGTAGCTCTCTAAGACAGCACCAGTTTAACTCACAAGTCAACAAACTGGAACACTTCAACCAGAGACATTGACATCCCCCTCTAATGAACTCAGCTGATTGCTAAAGACAGATGCTTCGTTAGAGCCAAACATTCCTATCTTACATAACTAAATATGATAATAAATTAAGTTCTTGGGGCTGGAAATAGTTATAATTTCCTCTTTCTTGCAGTGAAAAGGCATGGAACATTTAGCAAACTGATCCTGGCTTAATTTCTACCGATACTATGCAGCACAAACTCTTATTTGATGCAGATTATAAATCGAAAATTAGCAATGAATACTATGCATCGCTTTAGTGGTAAGAGGCTGCTGAGTAGCTTTTTTTCCCCAGTAACCGTAGAGGCAAGAATTGATATTTTTATGTCACTTTTACTAAGAAGGGGGGAAACATTTTGCTATTAATCTTAAAGAGAAGTCTTTTGCTGCTAGTTACGTGGAGTAACAGGGAATAGATTTACCTTCCTGCCTCAAAAAAGTGAAGACCAGAAAAACATTTGTTTTCAGACACTGGAGAGCAGGCACTGTTACGGCTGTGATTTTACAACTGCTCCTACATGCTGGGAGCAGTCGCTAGATGCATCTCAAGGTGGGTCGTCCGCGCTTCCAGACTCAGCACAATCGACATTTATTTACGTAGGTAAAATTACTGTTGCTATGGGTAAATTCACAGAAATAAAGCCCAGAGAATCCGGTTGGCTGGCAGGGAGCGGCGGAACCAATCCCGGGCTCAGCAAGTTCTCGCGATACCGTGAGATCTCCAGTCCTGACGACACCGCCGCTGAAATGTTAGTGAGACTGTAGGGTGGGCGGTGCGAGCGGCGGTTAGCTCCCAGTTCGGCCTCTGAGGAAAACGGGCGTTCGCCTGCGGTTGGTCCGACTGTTAGCAACATGAGCGGCCTGGATGGGGTCAAGAGGACCACTCCCCTCCAAACCCACAGCATCATTATTTCTGACCAAGTCCCGAGCGACCAGGACGCACACCAGTACCTGAGGCTCCGCGACCAAAGCGAGGCGACACAGGTGATGGCGGAGCCGGGTGAGGGAGGCTCGGAGACCGTCGCGCTCCCGCCTCCACCGCCTTCAGAGGAGGGGGGCGTACCCCAGGATGCCGCGGGCCGTGGCGGTACTCCCCAGATCCGAGTTGTTGGGGGTCGCGGTCATGTGGCGATCAAAGCCGGGCAGGAAGAGGGCCAGCCTCCCGCCGAAGGCCTGGCAGCCGCTTCTGTGGTGATGGCAGCCGACCGCAGCCTGAAAAAGGGCGTTCAGGGTGGAGAGAAGGCCCTAGAAATCTGTGGCGCCCAGAGATCCGCGTCTGAGCTGACGGCGGGGGCGGAGGCTGAGGCGGAGGAGGTGAAGACAGGAAAGTGCGCCACCGTCTCAGCAGCCGTGGCTGAGAGGGAGAGCGCTGAGGTGGTGAAGGAAGGCCTGGCGGAGAAGGAGGTAATGGAGGAGCAGATGGAGGTAGAGGAGCAGCCGCCAGAAGGTGAAGAAATAGAAGTGGCGGAGGAGGATAGATTGGAGGAGGAGGCGAGGGAGGAAGAAGGGCCCTGGCCTTTGCATGAGGCTCTCCGCATGGACCCTCTGGAGGCCATCCAGCTGGAACTGGACACTGTGAATGCTCAGGCCGACAGGGCCTTCCAACAGCTGGAGCACAAGTTTGGGCGGATGCGTCGACACTACCTGGAGCGGAGGAACTACATCATTCAGAATATCCCGGGCTTCTGGATGACTGCTTTTCGAAACCACCCCCAGTTGTCCGCCATGATTAGGGGCCAAGATGCAGAGATGTTAAGGTACATAACCAATTTAGAGGTGAAGGAACTCAGACACCCTAGAACCGGTTGCAAGTTCAAGTTCTTCTTTAGAAGAAACCCCTACTTCAGAAACAAGCTGATTGTCAAGGAATATGAGGTAAGATCCTCCGGCCGAGTGGTGTCTCTTTCTACTCCAATTATATGGCGCAGGGGGCATGAACCCCAGTCCTTCATTCGCAGAAACCAAGACCTCATCTGCAGCTTCTTCACTTGGTTTTCAGACCACAGCCTTCCAGAGTCCGACAAAATTGCTGAGATTATTAAAGAGGATCTGTGGCCAAATCCACTGCAATACTACCTGTTGCGTGAAGGAGTCCGTAGAGCCCGACGTCGCCCGCTAAGGGAGCCTGTAGAGATCCCCAGGCCCTTTGGGTTCCAGTCTGGTTAACATTTGCCCTTGGGAATACTCCTGCACAAGGTCTCCTACCACCTTCTGCTGGACCTGTGCTTGGGCATCAGCAATGAGTATGCCTTCTATTGTGCTTTGTTTTTGCTGACTTTTCTGCACCCTGTTTCCTTTGGATATTCAGTTCTCTCAACCTCAAGATTGAGACGGTGGTGGGTATGCTTCTCCACTTCCATATGACCTTCATGCTGTTCTGGAATATCACATGCTACGAGGTCATCCTTCACAC
The DNA here is from genome assembly GCF_000001405.40 of Homo sapiens. Classification (NCBI taxonomy): domain Eukaryota; kingdom Metazoa; phylum Chordata; class Mammalia; order Primates; family Hominidae; genus Homo; species Homo sapiens. The sequence goes on along the minus strand of NC_000006.12, from coordinate 116,278,269 downwards.
TACTTGTAAGCCAAGCAAATGATACTGTAGATTGTACTGCCTTTATCTGCACTGCTTGGACCCTGTTTATTCCCAGGGCCTCTGAACTGGTTGCTGTCACTTGGATTTCTAGCTTTGGGAGCCTGTTCCACCTACTCAGCTCTGCATTGAGCAGTATGGGCACATGCCCTGTGGACAGTTACTGGACGTTAATGAACTCAGAGGAGAAAAGCAGTGAGCCACTTGTTCTGTGTGATTTATGGTACTTCATTGCTCTTCCTTCACCTCTAGTCACTTTCTATTGCTACCTGCCCTACATTGGCTCCTGCCAAGGTCCCTCTCTCTCCCTGTTTTCCTTTTTTTTTTTTTTTTTTTTTTTTTTGAGACGGAGGACGGAGTCTTGCTCTGTCGCCCAGGTTGGAGTGCAGTGGCGCGATCTCGGCTCACTGCAACCTCCACCTCCCGGGTTCAAGCGATTCTCCTGCCTCAGCCTCCCGAGTAGCTGGGACTACAGGCGCGCGCCGCCACGCCCGGCTAATTTTTATATTTTTAGTAGAGACGGGGTTTCACCATGCTGGCCAGGCTGGTCTCGAACCCCGATCTCGTGATCCGCCCTCCTTAGCCTCCCAATCCTCTCTTAAAAAAGTGATAGCTCAGAAACATTTGTAAAAGCAAGGTTTTTATTTCATTTTGGCTCTGTCATTTTCAGAGGCAAAGAAGTTGGCCTGTAAAATAGAGTGCTAGAGCTCTTACGCCCCTCCCCTTCTTCCCAACTTCCTACTTCCTAGCCCTTTTATCAACTCCTAGAATAGTTAAAGAGAGACACATCTAGATGGGATGAAAGGTGCCCTAAGCAGGAGAAACTGAACAAAAGGCTAGAGGCATGGGCCAGGTAAAAATTGGGCCTAGAGTGAAGACTGTGCTGTCGTTAAGAGCTTTCGAGGAAGGAGTACTTACTCCCCAATGATGATGAATGGAAAAATACTTTTCAGGGAGAATTGAAGGGGTTAAAGTGTTAAATATGTTGCCTAGACAAGGGTTCTTTAAAGAAAGACAGCGCAACTTTGAATGCTTTCTTACTTGTTTTGTGACCTAATTTATGTGGAAGATTGTTATTTCATTAGGATTTAGTAAAATTTTTTTTTCTGATTCTAAACTTATTGTGAAAATTGAGCTGTACAGATATTCTTTTGATTTCAATTGGGAACATTTGGAAGAACAACAGTCTTACTTGCCTGTACAATATAGAGACATATGAATAGTCATAACAGTTTTCAACTTGTTCTTGTTTCTGTTAAACTATATTCCTAGAAACATAGTTTGAACAACTTGGTCTTTGTTAGGCTTGTCAAATTGCCTTCATGGAAAAATAATCTACAAAAGTATGGTTTAATTGATTGTCTTACATGATAATTTTCCCTGGTAACAACTTAGTAAGTGATATATCTTTTTTCCTAAATTGCTTAAATACTGTGAAATTGCTCTGACAAATTGGAAGTGTACCATTGGCATATTTGTCTTCCTTTTTATGCATGATGGTAAAATAAAAGCATGTTGTTCTGCTAGATTTCTTATTTTTCACCTTACCCATAAATGTAATGCTTGAATGAAGTTGTTCATATTAATTAAAAATTATGGAATCATTAAAGTCCTTTAATCCATTAAAGTTCTTAATGGATTAAAATCATTAAAGTTCTTAATGGATTAAAATCATTAAAGTCCTTAAATTGATGTTAACTAAAAATTACAGAATCATTAAAGTCCTTAAATGGACACAATAGACATTATCCCAAAGAGAAGAAAGCAGGGCACGGTATGTTTGGTACCTTCCAAGGTAGTTTGCCTTAAAACGTTAGCAGTTGCAACTGCTTACTCAATCACTTTTTTCCATGTAGTTTATGCAGCACAACCTCCCCTTCAGTTGCTCAAATCCTCCATTTCTGTCTCCATAAATTATATTCTCAGGTTATTCAGGCTCTTCTTTTTATTAACTTGTATGCAGGGAGTACCTATCATATGTGATGTACTCCTCTATTTTCATACTTTCTCATCTGTAAAAACTTCCTTTTTTTCTTTAAACTTCCTCACTGTTCTCTTCTGTCAAATCCTTCAAGGCCTGCCCTTGGTAATTCCTCTGCCAAAGTCTTTCTGTTCCCCATAGAGGAGATAAATGTTTCTTTATGCACTTAGTGTACTTTGGAGGGACCTCTGTTCTAGAAAATTAACATAATTATTCATTACAGTGAATTCCACAAATAGAGAAAAAGAGTAAGAAGATAAAGTCCATTCCCTTCTTTGGGGAACTGGGGAAGGACTGATAAGCAAACAAAGAATTAACAGAGTGATACAGTAAAATAAAATACAGAGATTATATTTTCATGTTTTTCCCATGTTCACTCTTTTCCTCTCAGTAGTTTGGAAACTTTGTGAAAGTGGAGATGCAGTGCATTTTACATGGTTCATTGCATCTAGCATTTTTTTTTTTTTTTTTTGAGATAGAGTCCCACTCTTGCCCAGGCTGGAGCGCAAGTGGCGCGATCTCGGCTCACTGCAACTTCCGCCTCCCGGTTTCAAGCAGTTCTCCAGCATCAGCCTCCCGAGTAGCTGGGACTACAGGCACGTGCTACCACGCCCGGCTAATTTTTTGTATTTTTAGTAGAGATGGGGTTTCACCATGTTAGCCAGGATGGTCTCCATCTCCTGACCTCGTGATCAGCCCACCTCAGCCTCCCAAAGTGCTGGGATTACAGGCGTGAGCCACCGCACCCAGCCCATCTAGCATAATGTTTTGCATAGTTGTCAGCAGATAAATATTGAATGACAAAACTCAGATGGAGGAAAAAGAACAAAATAACCTAGTTCTCAGAAAGATTTAATGAGCAAATGGGAAAATGTCAAAAAGATTTGCAATGCCATTCCTAAATAACTATTTCCCCTTTTAGTCATTAGAAAACGTCTAAACACTTTCAACATTAAATCTTTCACTTGCATTTTAACAGAGCACTACTTAATTTTGGGTTACCTTTTATATACTTTGTACATTTTAAGGTGATTATACTGGAGATAGAAGGGGGTTAGACTCTAGATGTGTGTTGTCCAATACAGTAACTTTTAGCCACCAGTGGCTATTGAGCACTTGAAATGTGGCTAGTCTGAATTGAGATCTATAAATATAAAATTCACACTGGATTTTGAAGACTCAGTATGGAAAGAAAAATGTTAAAATATCTCAATTTTTTTCATATTGATTGCATGTTGAAATATTTTTGACATTGTGTTAAAATATATTGAAAAATTAATTATCCTCATTTTGCCATTGTTTAATGTGGCTACTAGTAAATCTAAAATTACATAGGACAGCATGTCTCGACTTCCTGAGGAATATCTGAAAGCATATAAAATATCTGTAAAAATTAAACATGTTAATACTTTCTCCTCCTGAAGCTTCTTGTGACTAAGATAAGGGTTATCTTGCTTAAATTCAAGGCCAATGGGTAAAAAGAAGGTGAGTAAAATTTCTTTAATGAACTGTTCTTGAGTACTTAAGATGCACTGAATATTTTGCAAAATGTACTGTGCAACACTTTCTTGATATAGGCAGGGTAGATTTTGATGCCAAATTGACACAGTTATATTGGTTTAATTTTTAGTGACTTTTAAGACCAATATATGCATATTTTCTAAAGTAAAATGCTCTTTTTTTTTTTTTTGAGACAGAGTTTTGCTCTTGTTGCTCAGGCTGGAGTGCAATGGCACCATCTCGGCTCATGGCAAGCTTCCGCTCACCGCAACCTCTGCCTCCTGGGTTCAAGCGATTCTCCTGCCTCAGCCTCCCCAGTAGCTGGGATTATAGGCATGCGCCACCACGCCCGGCTAATTTTGTGTTTTTGGTAGAGAGATGGGGTTTCTCCATGTTGGTCACGCTGGTCTCAAACTCCCGACCTCAGGCGATGTGCCTGCCTCGGCCTCCCAAAATGCTGGGATTACAGGCGTGAGCCACTGTGCCCGGCCAAATGCTCTATTTTTAGTTTACAAATGTACATGATGTTCAGAAAATATTTTCAGTCGTATTTTAACAGTTGGCTAGCAACAGAAAAGGAAAATATCTGAGTCTAGCTCTGCATTAAGTCAGTTCAATGAACGCGTACTACTTGAAAAAGCAGCCGGGCAGGGTGGCTCACGCCTGAAATCCCAGCACTTTGGGAGGCCGAGGCGGCTGGATCACCTGAGGTCAGGAGTTCGAGACCAGCCTGGCCAACATGGTGAAACCCCGTCTCTACTAAAATTACAAAAATTAGCTGGGTGTGGTGGCAGGCGCCTGTAATTCCAGCTACTCGGGAGGCTGAGGCAGGAGAATCGCTTGAACCCAAGAGGTGGAGGCTGCAGTGAGCCAAGATTGAGCCATGGCACTCCAGCCTGGGGACAAGAGAGACTTCGTCTCAAAAAAAAAAAAAAACAAAAAAACATACTTTTTGAAAATTAGTGGTCTGTAATTGTAATCTTGCAGTAGTTGTTTATTGAATACTAGCATAAGTAAGGATTGAATGGGATAGTAAAGGTTGTCTTTGCCCTTGAGGAACTCAGGCTCATTGAGGGGGGTACCGTTCCTTGAATGTTTCCTTTTTTTCTGCAGCAAATACACACATTCAAAACATCTACTGCACACAAGCAAACTCAGAGAGGACCAGCCTGGCTGAGAGGAGTTGACCATCCCCCTCAGGACTGACTTCCTTTCCTTCAACATTATTATATAATTAAAGTCCTAGACTATATAGAAGTGACAGGTATGCTCTCTATGCATTTATTATTATGGGAGGTGTTTTACTTGGAAGCAGTACTTTCTCCATGTTAAGTGCTTTGAGCTCTGAAGGGCCATCTTAATCCATTCTCTCTGACCTCAGAGGTTGTCAAGACCTATAGAAGAGTTTCTATCAAGCCACATTAGGAAAAATGTGGATGTCTACTTTTTGGCTTCACTTTTTTTAGGATTTGTATTTAAGGTAATTTCTTTGAGAACAGGTAAAAGGAAATGGTTCAATTAAAAAGGAAAGGGTCATTTAAGTAAGTTACTAATTTTTGTGAACACCTATATGTCTTAGATATGACCTGATGGGCAGAGAAGGCATACTAGCTTTAAATTAGGATTAAATCCCGGTTTTACAATTACCATGTATTGCATTTCCCAAAATAAACTACTCTGAATCTTGGTTTCCTTATCCATAATGTAGGGATGATAAAACTTGCAGTATAAGCTAATGTTTTAGGATGCATTTGGAGACTGCATTATAAGGTTACAGAGAAGATAACAACAGAAACATTTGAGAGCTTACTTTGCGCCTGACACTGTGCTAAGAGATTTCAAGTATTAATATAGTTATAATATAGAGGTTAGACAGCAAGCATCATGTCTAGCATATAATATGCAATCAATTAAAATTTCCATTTGTCTTCCTCTCAATTTTAATTTCTCATTTAATTTACATTCAGACAAATAGTCATCTAGCTTCATGGTTCTCAAACCTGGCTGATCATTATATATAGCTTTGAGCTTTCAAAAAATACTGATGCCAAGACTCTACCCTGAACCAATTAAATTACAGCCTAAAGTGCAGCTGAGTTTGAGAATCATGGCTTACCTTTTCTTGAACTCCTTAAGTTAGGGAATACATACTCCCTTCCCAGTTTTGTCAAATTGATTCAAATTTGCCACCTTATAAACATCCAGCTATTGCAAAGAGCCTGGTATATCGTAGAGTTTCAGTATATCTATTTCATAGTTTCCCCCCTGTGGTCTTGCAGAATGGAATTAACCTGAATTCAACAAAAGAGGTCTTTAAAATTCATAACAGCAGGTGTCGTCTGTCTTTGAAATTCCCTTGCCAAAAAAGGAAATGATTTCTTAGTGATATGCTTTACTTCTGTTGATCACTATTTGCTCTTTTAAAGTGTCCAAAGATGTTTTAATAGATACTTGGTATTTGTTGTTTTCTTTAATAAAGTATAATTTACATGTAGCACAGGAATGGTCATAGCAGTTTTATTTATAACAGCCCCAAACTAGAAACAGCCCAAATGTTCACCAACAAGTGAGTGAATGAACAAATTATGGTATATTCATACAATGGAACACCACTCAACAATAAAGAGGAACAACCTATTGATCATCAACATGGATGAATCTCAGAGACATGTTAAGTGAAAGATGTCAAAGGAATATATATTATATGATTCCATGTATATGAAATTCACTAGCATAGAAAACTTTTTTATGGTGATAGAAATCCCAGGAATGGTAGCCTCAAGGTTGAGGGGAGTAACGGTAAAGCTTGAGGACATTTGCAGGGGTAATAGTGCTCCATATCTTGAGTTGGGTGATAACACAGGTGTATCCACTTTTCAAAACTTGTCCAAGTATATATTTAAGATTTATGCATTTTAGTGTAAGTAAATTATACCTCAATAAATAGATTTTAAAATATTATTGATAATTTAAAAAATAGAACTTCATTTGCCCATCTCCAGTCTTTTGGCTTCTCTTCCTTGGTGGTAAAAATTGCTGACTCTACTTACAAGATCTTATTTGTGAGTTCTTACTGTTGCATGATTTTATTTATAATTCTAATAATGAAATTCCTTTTTAAAAACTTATTTCTCTTTCAATTCCAGGCCAAAATTGACCTTTCTCAAGATTCTCTTAGTTTACAAACTGAGGTCTGTCATCCTCTGGTCATTGAAGTGAAGTCTGCTTAGGACATATTGTCCTGTAAATAGGATTGACATTCCCTGGGGCCCTCTCAAGAATCTCTCTGAGCTTCCTTTTCCATTTCTGACCATTTAGATGCTTACAAGATGCTTTTCTCTGACTTCTTCAGCTCCAACTGCTCCTTTCCATTACCCTAAAGCTGTGGATCATAAAGAGTGTTCTCCAGACCAGCAGTATCTGCACCACCTGGATCTTGTTAGAAATGCAGATTTTCGAACCCCACCCATGAGCTACTGAAACAGAACTCTGAAGGTGAGGCCTAGAAACCGGTTTTAACCAATGTGCCAAGTGATTCTAATGCCTGCTATCAATCATTTGGGAACCATTGTCCTAAACTCAGCTGCTGCTTCTGCTTCATCTCCAGTTGATTCAGTTTCCTTAATTGTTACCATTATAAAAACAAAATAAAGCAAAACAAGACATTTACCTATATTATTAATCACAAATAAGTTCCCTACCCTGTGGGGTCACAATTTGGGCTTTGGATATCTAATTCTGCATCAAGTACATATCTCTGTCTTCACAATCTCAACAAATTATTAGATATATCAGTAACTTCCATATATGCTCTCATTTTGTAGTTGCAGTGTCACTATCTCCATTTAATGGATAGGGAAATAGGGGCTCAGGAAAGAGAAGTGTATTATCCAAGACGAAGGTAACATGGGCTGCATTCAATTAGGGTTTCTCATTTCCAGCTAAGACACTTTGCACCATATTGAAGCAGCTTGTAACTAAATTTGCCATAAAAATATATCTAAAATCCTAATTAAGTTTGAATAGCTTGATCTTAGTTGAAAGTTATTCCTAATTCATTCACAAGTAGCTTTTAAAAGGGATATGTTTATGTTAAACAATAGAAGGTCTCCAAATCCTATCAGATAACTGTATCCTGTCTTTAAAAATGTAATTTTTTATATCTACTGCCTGAATTAAATTGCTTAGTTGTACTTTCCAGAGAAATAGAATGGACCAAAGCAGTTCAAATATTTTAATATTCTTCTGGAGTTTGGCTGCTGAGATGTAAAGAACTATTGATATCACTAGTAAATAAATAATGTATATTTATTGAGGTTTAGTCAATAGAGCGATTACTTATAAGAGGCATGTAGTACTTAATTATCATCCTCTTCACCAAACTCCAACTTAACCTTGGACAATACAATTAAGAGTTGTGTTCAGATGGCTTTAAAAACAGGTGCATGGTACAACATGCTCTTGTTGTTAACCATTTTGCTTAATGGCCAAACTTCTCTTGGGTCAGTTTTGATAACTCCTCTGCAATTTCATCAACAATGAGGGAAATGTAATTTCAAGGTGAGCATTGAGCACTGAGTATATTAGGCAAGAGTGGGGCTTGCTTATTTTTGGCCTTGCAGCTCCCAGAAATAGAATGTTTACAAGGTGTAATCATATTTCAGTACCTTGTTTTTCCAGAATTGTTTTCTTTTCCCAGAAATTTTTTACTCTCTATTTATTTGTATTTAGCTCTTCTTTACTAAAGTATAACTCTATCAGAGCAGAAGACTGTGTCTTCTTCATCTTTATATCTTACATTCTTAGCATGGTAGATGTTTAATTGGAATGTGATTTCAGAGAGTGGCTGTGTTCCAGTCTTGATCCAATATTGATGAACTGAATGTGTTAGTCTATTATAAGCAAAGATTTTCAGGTCAAACTTGGTTTGAAATACAGACTGTATGTTCCTCACAGAAAATGTGACTTTGAGCAACCAAGTCTGCTTAAAGTCAGCTATTAAAAGTATGTATTTCATGCATCTAGTTTTTTCTTAATATATTTTATAAAGTCTTTAAAGTGATATGTGGAAGAATGTGGTAAAGCACTTTAGTTAGAGCAAAAAGGGTTGTTTTCCCTATCAGCCCAAAATACCATATGTCTAGAATCATTAGGAATTAACTGTAACATAGTGGACAAGCATTATTACTATGTGCTAGTGTTTCATGACTTCCTCAGATTATTCAAATGGTATCCAATCTACTTGGTCCAATTCAACTCTTCTTTTCTTCCACAAACCTTTCACTTATTTTACATGGATGACTTTTGTTTCTCAACTTTTATACAATTACAGTTTCATAATAGAATTTGACATTGATTTTATACTGCCTACAATATTGTTTATTTAATGTAATTCTTAGCATAAAAATAATAAAAATGAGCAAGTCAGCTTCTATTTATTGAAAGCATATTGTGAAAAACACTTCACAGATATCTCATTTCACCTTCATGATAATTCTGTAAGTTGTTTTATTATATTCATTTTGTATATGAGTAAATTGTGGCTTAGAGAGCTGAAGTGACTTGCCTAAATTAAACAGCTAGTAAGTAACAGAACTGGGACTTGACGTCAGATCTGTTTGATTTCAAAGGGTGCATCTTTAACCAGCATACAAAGGTGTGGGGTCATTCAGGTCAGAGCCTTTGTCTCTGGTTTCTCTTAAGACTGGTGAAAGCAGGAGCATATGAGGTTTTTTTTTTTCTTTTTTTTTTTAAAGTATTATCACAGGCAGTGATCATAACTAGATAATTAGCCTGAGAAAATATTACTTTTGTAACAGTGATAGCCTAAATAAAATAGAAATGTGATTCCATTGTAATAATAAAGAGTACCAAACATATGTGAGAAACTATGCCACAGTTATTTTACTGAAATATGATCTATTTTTGCCAAGCTGATCTATATCAGCTTAAACTTGAACTTTGAGGGCAGACAAAACAGAATCGTACTATCATCCTAAAGACTACTTCCTCCCTCTAGTGACCAGGAATGGGAATATCACAGCTACAGGCATTTAGAAAACTTGATTCTCAATGTATATGCATACCTCCCTCTAGGGGATATTTGGGAAATTTTCAGTAGTAATTTTGGTTATTACGATGAATAGGGCTGCAGCTGGTATTCATTAAGGGCATTAGGGATGCTAGACATCGTGAATGTGAGGGATAGTGCCCTATATAAAATAATTTTCCAGCTCAAAACATTCATGTAGATGAAAAATTCATTATTTTTTAAGTCTAGAACATAGCAGTTCAGTCATGTTTCACTTAACAATGAGACATTCTGAGAAATGTGTCATTAGGCAATTTCATCATTGTGCAAACATCATACAATATACTTACACAAACCTAAATGCTATAGCCTACTACACATGTAGGCTCTATGGTATAGTCTATTGCTCCTAGGCTACAAGCCTGTGCAGCATATTACTGTACTGAATTCTATAAGCAATAGGAACACAATGGCAAGTATTTGTGTAACTAAACATATCTAACATATGTTGTGTAACTAACATATCTACATAGAAAAACTACTGTAAAAAGATGGCATAAAATATTTTAAAATGGTATACCTGTATAGGACACTTACCATTAATGGAGCCTGTAGGACTGGAAGTTGATCTGGGTGAGTCAGTGAGTGAGTGGTAAGCGCATGTGAAGGTCTAGGACATTACTGTACACTACTTGATACGGTTTGGCTCTGTGTCCCCACCCAAATCTCATCTCAAATTGTAATCCTTACATGTCAGAGGGGCCTGGTGGGAGGTGACTGAATCATGGGGGCAGACTTCCTCCTTACTGTTCTTTTTATAGTGAGCTCTCATGAGATCTGGGGGTTTAAAAGTATGTGGCTTGCTCTCTCTCTCTCTCTCTCAAGCTTTGTCATGGTTAGATGTGCCTTGCTTCCCCTTCACCTTCTGTCATGATTGTAAGTTTCCTGAGGGCTCCTCAGGCATACGGAACTGTCAGTCAATTAAACCTCTTTTCTTTATAAATTACCCAGTCTCAGGCAGTTCTTTATAGCAGTGTGAAAATGGACTAATATGCTATTGTACATTTTATAAACATTGTACACTTTGGGACACTAAGTTTATAAAAAAATTTTTCTTTCTCCAATAATAAATTAACCTTAGCTTACTGTAACTTTTTTACTTTATGTTTTAACTTTTTAAAACTTTTTGAGTCTTTTATAATGACACTTAGCTTAGAACACAAATATTGTACAGCTGTACAAAAATATTTATATCTTTAATTTATAAGCTTTTTTCTAATATTTTTTCTTTTTTTTCAACTTTTTAAACTTTTTTGTTAAAAATGAAGACACAAACACACACATTAGCCTAGGCATAGCCATGCTCCCGATTATCAATATCACTGTCTTCTACCTCAACATCTTGTCCCAATAGAAGGTCTTCAGAGGCAGTAACACATACTGAGTTGTCATCTTCTGTGATAAAAATGCCTTCTTCTGGAATACCACCTGAAGGATCTGCCTGAGGCTATTTTACAGTTAAGTTTTCTTTTTAATAAGTAGAAAGAGTATCCTCTACAATCACATATAGTATAGTAAATACATAAGCCAGTAACATAGTCATTTATGTTTTATCAAGTATTATGTACTGTACCTAATTGTATGTGCTATACTTTTATATGATTAGCAGTGTAGTAGGTTTGTTTATACCAGCATTACCACCAATACATGAGTAATGAGTTATACTATGACCTTATGAGGGCTACAGCATTACTCAGGCTGTGATGACACTAAGCCATAGGAAATTTTCAGCTCCATCATAATTTTACTGTTGGATATGTGATCCATCATTTGATGAAACATCATTATGTGGCACATGAGTATTTCACATATGAAAACAAAAAATTTGCACTTTTTAGATATGTGCTGTATTTTTACAAGGATTTATTTCATCTGCTCTAAAAGTATTGATTGTAAAATAAGCCATTAGTTAACACTAAGAAAGAAAGTAAGAAAAAGAAAGAAAATAACTTTCAATTAAACTCTGACACAAAGCTTTCTAATTCTTAGGATTTTTATTGTATACATATTGAAAGACCTTTTGATTTTAAAAATGTAGTTTTATCATATATCACTCATAGGTATATATACAAAGTAAATTATGAGTGAAATAAACTAGTTTCACTATTCTAATTATTTTCCCATTTATAATAGTAATCTTAATTACTATTCAAAATTCTTGAATAATTTTGATGATGACAACATATCTTAGTAGAATGTTCTACTACTAATAACAGTATGCTTCTGAGATTTTTTCCCCTAAGCCTCCAGTACTCATTCTGCAAGTTTTGATGCTGGCACTTTCTTGACTTTACCAGAAGATATCAACAGAATATTTTCAGGGAACAAATAAGGCTTATTTTCCTTCCTCAAATGGCTCTTAAAGAGTTTACTGATTGAAACGTCAAGAGGTTGCAGTTGTCCAATAATGTCGGCAAGACTAACAGCCAAGTTCACACCTCCTGGATGACTAGTATACCATGACTGCTGTTCTGCTGGTAGCAGTTGTAAGATGCCATTGATTATATCATGGATAGTCATTTCAGAGATGTTAAAGTGTGGAAAAAGAAACTGGGTTAAAAGGGGAGAAAGCTGGGAACCCTGCATGGGGCTACTGCACACCAGGACTCATTCCTGGCTTCCACTGGCTCCAAGGGAATGGGTGAGTTGAACTGGCAAGGAGCAACCTACTCTCACGCGGCCTCTGGAACCCTGGCAGAAGGGAACCCCTTGACCACCATGGACACTCAAGGTGGCAGAGAGAGCTAATTAGAGAAGGGGTAGGGGCAGCAAGCCATCTGATGCAGAACCCAGAGGGTTTGATGTGGGAGCATCTGTAGCAGAGCACAACTAGGGAAGGCTGTCCCCTCTAGGCTTGACTTGCTCACATAGGAGATGTTAACCCTAGGGGAACTGTCAGATCTGAACTCTGCAGAGTGGTCTTGTCCATCAGACTGGGCAGGTCTGACTTGAGCACCCCTTGATTTGCTGGCCTCTCCTGGGGCCCCAGCCTGGCCATTCCTGCTTGCAGGGTGGTCTCGGGTTCCCTGGGGGCCCACACCATACCTTCTGTGCTGGTGGACCATGCTTAACCAGCAGGGAGCTCCAGTGGGGTGGCCACTACAGCCATGTGCCAGCCTGCATGCTCTCTCCTCATAATGCAGCTTCCCCTGGGCTCACACCAACTCCCCACATCACTTTGCTAGCACGTCTGTATGGGCAGATTCTGCTTTCACTGCCCCACCAGCATGTGGGAGTGCTGTCTACTCCACTCCCCCTGCTGACTGCCATTGTAGACAGAGCCTTGGTGGGCACAGAGCCAGCCAGCCCAGTCCCTGCCAGCACCCCACCCTTGCACTAACACTACACAGAGAACAGCAGATCCTTCCCTGCCCTGAGCAATCACTCCTGCTTGCAGGGCACAGAAAAGGCACCCAGACCTGTGCCCATCAGTGACCCACCCCTGAGTCAACACCACCTCCAGCATGACTGTGCACACAGTCACCATCTGGGGCCACTCCTTCCACTCCCCACCCCTGCAGCTGCATTTCCTCTGCCACTGTGGTGAATGCCTGCTAGCATGGCGCCTGCTAGCATGGCACCTGCTAGCACTCTGCTGCAGCTGTTACTACCACTGCTGCTGGCACATGTGAACGAAGACAGATCCCCCTGTTGCTGCAATATGAAACACTTTGGCTGATACCACCCATCAAAGTGTAGTGAACAGTGGTCCGGGAGCACCTCAGTTCCCCCAACACAGTGAATTCCTAACCTTGAGGAGCCAGAAAACAAAGTCAGGGCCTAATATAAGTTCCCCCAGAATTACAGCTTGAAGTGTAGGACTTGGGAGCTGAGTGCTGGCCCCATAAAAATCTTCCAGAAACACAGCCAGTTGGCTGAGTCCACCTTACACCACAAATGCTCAAGTTCATCAAATATAATAGGATAAAAGAAAAACCATCCAAAGGTCAGCAACCTCAAAGATTGAAGGAACACAAGACCACAAAGATAAGAAAAAAATCAGCACAAGAACCCTGACAACTCAAAAAGCCAAAGTGCCTTATTTCCTCCAAAGGATGGGCTCACATCTCCAGTAAGGGTTCTGAACTGGGCTGAGATGGCTTAAATGACATTCAGAATATGGATAGGAATGAAGACCATTCAGCTACCAGAGTACATTGAAACCCAATCCAAGGAAGCTGAAAATAATGATAAAACAATGCAAGAGCTGACAGACAAAATAGCCAGTATAGAAAAGACTGTAGCCGATCTGATAGAGCTGAAAAACACACTACAAGAATTTCATAATGCAATCATGGGTATTAATAGTAGAATAGACCAAGCAGAGGAAACACTCTCAGAGATTGAAGACTGGCTAGTCAGACAAGAATAGAGAAAAAAGAATGAAAAGGAATGAGCAAAACCTCTGAGAAATATGGGATTATGTAAAGAGACCAAATCTACAACTCATTGGTGTCCCTTAAAGAGATGAGGAGAATGGAACCAACTGGGAAAACATATTTCAGGATATTATCCATGAGAACTTCCACAACCTAGTGAGAGAGGCCAACATTCAAATACAGGAAATAAAGGGAACCCCAGTAAGATACTTCACAAGATCATCCCCAAGACACATAATCATCATATTCTCCAAGGCTGAAATGAAAGAAAAATGTCAAAGGTGGCTAGAGAGAAAGGGCAGATTGCCTACAAAGGGAAGCCCCTCAGACTTATGGTGGACTTCTTAGTGGAAATCCTACAAGCCAGAAGACATTGAGGGCCAATGTTCAACATTCTTAAAAGAATTTTCCACCCAGAATTTCATATCCAGCCAAACTAAGCATCATAAGCAAAGGATAAATAAGATCCTTTTCAGACAAGCAAATGCCAAATTTGTTACCACCTGATCTGCTTTACAAGAGCCCCTGAAGGAAGCACTAAATGTGGAAAGGAAAGATCATTACTGACCACTACAAAAACACACTGAAGTACACAGATTAGGGACATTATAAAGCAACCACATAAACAAGTCTGCAAAATGACCAGCCAGCTTCATGATGACAGGATCAAATCCACACACGTCATTACTAACCTTGAATGTAAATGGCCTAAATGCCCCAATTAAAAGACACAGAATGGTAAGCTGGATAAAGAATCAAGACTTATTGGTATGCTGTCTTCAAGAGACCCATCTCACATGCAATGACATATATAGGCTCAAAATAAAGGGATGGAGAAAATTCACCAAGCAAATGGAAAACAGAAAAAAGCAAGGGTTGCAATCCTAGCTTCTGACAAAATAGGCTTTAAACCAACAAAGATAAAAAAAAAAAAGACAAAGAAGGGCATTACATAATGGCAAAACAGTATTCAGTTCAATAAGAAGACCTAACTATGCACCCAACACAGGAGCACCCAGATTCATAAAGCAAGTTCTTAGATCCCTTCAAAGAGACGTAGACTCCTACACATTAATAGCGGGAGACTTTAACACACCACTGACAATATTAGATTGTTGAGGCAGAAAATTAACAAAGATATTTAGGACCTGAACTCAGCACTGAATCAAATGAACCTGATAGACATCTACAGAACTCTCCACCCCAAAATAGCAGAATATACATTCTTCTCATTCCCACATGGCATATACTCTAAAATTGATCACATAATTGGAAGTAAAACACTCATCAGCAAATGCCAAAGAACTGAAATTATAACAAAAAATCTCTTGAACCACAGCAAAATCAAATTAGAAATCAAGACAAAGAAATTCACTCAAAACCATACAGTTACATGGAAATTGAATAACCTGCTCCTGAATGACTTTTGAGTAAATAATGAAATTAAGGCAAAAATCAAGAAGTTCTTTGAAACTAATCAGAATAAAGAGACAACATACCAGAATCTCTGGGACACAGCTAAGGCAATGTTAAGAAGGAAATTTATAGCACTAAATTCCCACATCAAAAAGTTAGAAAGATCTTAAGTTAAAAACCTAATATCACAACTAGAAGAAATAGAGAACCAGGAGCAAACAAATCCTAAAGCATGCAAAAGACATGAAATAACCAAATCAGGGCTGAACTGAAGGAGATTTAGACACACAAAAAATTTCAAAGATCAACGAATCCAGGAGCTGGTTTTCTGAAAACATTAATAAAACAGACCATTAGCTAGACTAATAAAGATAAAAAGAGAGAGGATTCAAATAAACACAATCAGAAGTGACAAGGAGGATATTACCACTGATCCTACAGAAATACAAACAACCATCAGAGAATATTATGAACACCTCTATGCTCATAAAGTAGAAAATCTGGAAGAAATGGATAAATTCCTGGATACATACAACCTCCTAAGACTTAACTAGGAAGAAACTGAATCCAGGAACAGACCAATATTGAGTTCTGAAATGTAATCAGTAATAAAAAGCCTACCAACCAAAACAACAACAACAACAACAACAGAAACCCCAGGACCAGACAGATTTACAGCTGAATTCTACCAGATGTACAAAGAAGAACTAGTATCATCCCTACTGAAATTATTCCAAAAAAAATGAAAAGGAGGGAATCCTCCCTAACTTATTCTATGAGGCCAACATCATCCTGATGCCAAAACCTGGCAGAGATACAACAGAAAGAGAAAATTTCAGGCCAATATCTTTGCTGAACATCAATGCAAAAGTCCTCCACAAACTACTAGCAAACCAAATCCAGCCGCACATCAAAAAGCTTATCCACCATGATCAAGCAGGCTTTATCCTTGGGATGTAAGGTTGGTTCAACAAACACAAATTAATGATGTGATTCATCACATAAACAGAACTAAAGACAAAAACCATATGATTATATCAATAGATGCAGAAAAGGCCTTCAATAAAATTCAACACTCCTTCATGTTAAAAACTCTCAAAGTAGGTATTGAAAGAACATACCTCAAAATAACAAGAGCCATCTATGACAAACCCACAGCCAACATCATAATGAATAGGCAAAAGCTGGACACATTCTTCTGGAAAAGCAGCACAACACAAGGATGCCTGCTCTTTCCACTCCTATTCAACACAGTATTGGAAGTCCTGGCCAGGGCAATCAGGCAAGAGAAAGAAAGAAAGTGCATCCAAAGAGAGGAAGTCAAACTATCCCGCTTTGCAGACTACATGATCCTGTATCTAGAAAACCCCATAGTCTCAGCCCTTAAGCTGATAACATCAGCAAAGTCTCAGGATACAAAATCAATGTGCAAATATCACTAGCATTCCTACACACCAAAAACAGTCAAGCTGAGGGCCAAATCAGGAAGGCAATCCCATTCACAATAGCCACACAAAAAAATAAAGTACCTCGGGAGGCTGAGGCAGGAGAGTGGCGTGAACCTGGGAGGCAGAGCTTGCGGTGAACTGATATCGCACCACTGCACTCCAGCCTAGGTGACAGAGTGAGACTCTGTCTCAACAAATAAATAAATAAATAAATAAAGTACCTAGGAATACACCTAACCACAGAGATTAAAGTTCTCTACAAGGATAACGACAAAACACTGCTCAAAGAAATCGGAGATGCATAAAGGAAAAACATTACACACTCATGAACAGGAAGAATCAATATTGTTATAATGGTCCTACTGCCCAAAGCAATTTATAGATTCAGTGCTATTCCTATTAAACTACCATTGACATTCTTCACAGAACTAGAAAAACTATTTTAAAACTCAAATGGAAGCCAAAAAGAGCCCAAATACCCAAGGCAATCCTAAACAAAAAGAACAAATCTTGAGGCATCACACTACCCAACTTCAAACAATAATACAGGGCTACAGTAACCAAAACAGCATGGTACTGATACAAATACAGACACGTAGACCAATGGAACAGAATACAGAACCCAGAAATAAGACTGCACACCTACAGGTATCTGATCTTCAACAAACCTGACAAAAACAAACAATGAGGAAAGGATTCCCTATTCAATAGATGGTACTGGGATAATTGGCTAATCATATGCAAAAGAGTGAAACTGGACCCCTTCCTTATACCATACACAAAAATTAAATCAAGATGAATTAAAGACTTAAATGTAAAACCCAAAACTATAAAAACCCTGGAAGACAACCTAGGAAATACCATTCTGGACATAGGAATGGACAAAGATTTCATGACAGAGACACCAAAAACAATTGCAACAAAAGCAAAAATTGACAAATGGTATCTAATTAAACTAAAGAGCTTCTGCACAGCAAAGAAAACCATCAGCAGAGTGAAAGGACAATCTACAGAATGGGAGAAAATTTTTTCAAACTATGCATGTGACAAAAGTCTAATATCCAGCATCTATAAGGAACTTAAATTCACAAGAAAAAACAAAGAACTCTATTAAAAAGTGGGCAAAGGACATGGACAGATATTTTTCTAAGAAAGACATACATGCAGCCAATATTCATGTGAAAAAAAAAGCTCAACATCACTGATTATTAGAGAAATGCAAACAAAACCACAATGAGATACTATCTCATACCAGTCAGAATGGCTATTATTAAAAAGTAAAAAACAGATGCTGGCGAGGTTGTGGAGAAGAAGGAATGCTTATACACTGTTGGTGGGAGTAGAAATTAGTTCATCCATTGTGGAATATAGTGTGGTGATTCTTCAGAGACCTCAAAACAGACAGATTGTTTGGCCAAGCAATCCCATTAATAGGTATTTACCCAAAGGAATATAAGTCATTCTATCATAAAGACACATGCATGTCTATATTCACTGCAGTGTTATTCACATAGCAAAGCCATGGAATCAACCTAAATGCTCATCAATGATAGGCTAGATAAAGAAAATGTGGTACATATACACCACAGAATACTATGCAGCCATAAAAAAGAATGAGATCATGTCCTTTGCAGGAACATGGATGGAGCTGTAGGCCATTATCTTTAGCAAACTAAAGCAGGAACAGGAAACCAAATACCACGAATTCTCTTATAGGTGGGAGCTAAATGATGAGAACACATGGACGAACAACACACACTGGGGTTTATCTAAGGATGGAGGGTTGGGAGAGGGAGAAGATAATGAAAAATAACTCATAGGTACTAAGTTTAATATCTGGGTGATGAAATAATCTATACAACAAACCCCAGTGACACGTTTACCTATATATCCTGCACATATACCCCTGAACTTAAATAAAATGTGGGGAAAAAAGATGTGTCTTATAATCAAAGAGATATAAATGTGAATTGAAGAAATTTTGTCCTTTTCCTCCAGAACTTTATCATAAAGCTGCTCAAAATTTCAGAAAATCTATCTCAGAAGAGCATTGCTGCTTATGTCTCTAGTACCATACACCTATATCGAGTTGCATCAGTAGTTTCATACACTGGTAAGTCTACAGGTATAACCATTTAACTAATTTATCATGCTGTAAAGTGCTGGCATGTCAAAGCATTTATATTTTAAAATAGATATTTTAAAAATTACTTTCCTTTTATTTTTCCTTTAAATTACAAGTAAGTTTGCTCTTCCTGTCTGTGCCAGGGTGGCGCATGGTCTACGTCGAGCAACAGAGACACTCAGGCTGTGTT
This sequence comes from Homo sapiens, assembly GCF_000001405.40. NCBI lineage: Eukaryota > Metazoa > Chordata > Mammalia > Primates > Hominidae > Homo > Homo sapiens. The sequence goes on along the minus strand of NC_000006.12, from coordinate 116,259,121 downwards.
CTCACGATGACTGAGTGGGAGACAGCAGCACCAGCAGTGGCAGAGACCCCAGACATCAAGCTCTTTGGGAAGTGGAGCACTGATGATGTGCACATCAGTGACATTTCCCTGCAGGATTACATTGCAGTGAAGGAGAAATATGCCAAGTACCTACCTCACAGTGCAGGGTGGTATGCCGCCAAATGCTTCCACAAAGCTCAGTGTCCCATTGTGGAGCGCCTTACTAACTCCATGATGATGCACGGCTGCAACAACGGCAAGAAGCTCATGACTGTGTGCATCGTCAAGCATGCCTTCGAGGTCATACACCTGCTCACAGGCGAGAACCCTCTGCAGGTCCTGGTGAACGCCATCATCAACAGTGGTCCCCGGGAGGACTCCACACGCATTGGGTGCGCCGGGACTGTGAGACGACAGGCTGTGGACGTGTCCCCACTTCGCCGTGTGAATCAGGCCATCTGGCTGCTGTGCACAGGTGCTCGTGAGGCTGCCTTCCGGAACATTAAGACCATTGCTGAGTGCCTGGCAGAGGAGCTCATCAATGCTGCCAAGGGCTCCTCCAACTCCTATGCCATTAAGAAGAAGGACGTGTGGCCTTCTTGGAGCATGTGGCCAAGTCCAACCGCTGATTTTCCCAGCTGTTGCCCAATAAACCTGTCTGCCCTTCAGGGCAGCCCTACCAAAAAAAGCAAAAAAATTACAACTAAGTTATTATAATGACTTTAAAAAATGTGCATGTTGATATACAATATGAATTTCAAGAAAGGAAAAGGGAGTTATAAAGCACGTTATAAAAAGAAATATCTGGCCAGGTCCGGTGGCTCACACCTGTAATCCCAGCTCTTTGAGAGGCCAAGGCGGGCAGATCACCTGAGGTTGGGAGTTTGAGGCCAGCCTGGCCAATATGGTGAAACCCTGTATCTACTAAAAAAAAAAAAATTAGCCGGGCATGGTGGCAGGTGCCTGTAATCCCAGCTACTTGGGAGACTGAGGTAGAACTGCTTGAACCCAGGAGGTGGAGGTTGCAGTGAGCCAAGATCTTGCCACTGCACTCCAGCCTGGCTGTGACAGAGCGAGACTCCATCTAAAAATAAAATAAAAGTAAAAAATAAATGTTATATCTGATGAGCTGAGAACTGTTAAGGCATTGAAACACAGAATCATGAATTCTTGTTTCTCTTTAGTAATTGGGCACTTCCTCAACAATTGTCACTAATTTTATGGATGGGGGCAGGCTATAGACTGAGTGTTTTTGTCCCCTCTAATATATTGAAACCTAATCCCCAATGTGAGAGTATTTGGAGCTGGGGTCCTCTGGGGGGCAATCGGTGCCCTATAAAAGAGACCTCTGGTTAGAGCCCTAATGAGATTAGTGCCACTATAAAAGAAACCCCAGAGAGATCCCTCACTCCTTTTTGCATGTGAGGACACAGCAAAACAAAACAAAACAAAACACAAAAAAACAACAAACTACAGTCTAAGAATCAGGATGTAGGCCCTCACCAGACACCAAATCTGTTGGTGCCTTGATCTTGGAATTCCCAGCCTTCAGAACTGTGAGAAGTAAGTTACTGTTTACAAGCCACCCACTCTATGGTATTTTGTTACAACAGCCTGAATGGACTAAGACAGGTAAAGGAAAAGAAGATAAAGAAGAAAGTTCAACATTAAATTGGGATGGTCATGTAGTCTTATTTCTAAGAAGGTGGCTTTTCATTTTATGGGTTGTGTAAGGTTGCAGAATACTATGGTGAATGAGTGCACAGGCTCTCCAGTCAGATTACCTCGTTCAGATTGTGGCTCTACCACTTGCTGTGTGATCTTGGATAAACCACTTTATTTCTCATTGCCTCAATTTCTTCTGAGGCATAGGGAAGGGGAGGTCATAATATCACCTCACAGGGTCCTTGTAAAAATTAAATGAGATACACATTTAAGCACATAAAAGTATATGGTATATAGAAAACACTAAATAATGAACCAGAAACTATATCATTCTGAAAAAGAAACTGCTGGTCAAAGATGTAACAATAGGGGATATTTCACAAATTTTCCAATCTTTATACTTTAGTAAAGTCATTCCTGTTTGACTGTATTAATTTATGTTTGAACTTCCATTAAATATCTTTTCTCCTTGCAAATAAAAATTACCTCATAGATTTTCATGGCATTTTCTATCGATATTTTCCCATAGAATCATAAGTCACTGATGTAGTTTTTTCTGCTTAGTAAGGTTTATTGCCAATTTCCAGTAGAATAGACTTTACTGTGTACAAAATATATATTATTCTAATGTGCAAAAAATGTAAAATATAACTCATAGCTACTATTATATATCCACCCACCTCAAAATGAAACACAAGGGTAGTCATACTATTCATTTTGGTAAAATTTTTTAAAATTTTTATTTAAATTTAAATTTTCACTTAAATAATCAAGATTCATTAAAACATTCTATGAGATAGTAACTGGACTATACTGTCGTAGATGCTACAGAAGCTGCTATGCAGTCATTATCTAGCTGGGATAAAACTGACCTTAATGAAACAACCAATAAAGTTAAAAAGTAGAGGATAAATAAGTACGGTCATTTGCTGCATAACATTTTGGTCAAAGATGAACTGCATATACAAGTGTGGGACCATACAATTGTAATACTCTATTTTTACTGTATCATTCTTATGTTTAGATACAAAAATGCTTACCATTATGTTACAAGTGCCTACAGTATTCAGTACAGCAACATGCTGTTCAGGTTTGTAGCCTAGGAGCAATATGATATACTATTTAGCTTAGGTGTATAGTAGGCTATTGCAGCTAGGTTTGATAGATGTACTGTATGATGTTTCCATAATGACAAAATCCCTGTCATTCAGTGAAACGTAACTGTACTAAGTTGGATAGTAAAAGTCATAAGGGCTATACAGAAATCAGAAGACTGTCAAAATGGCAAGTAATTAAGGAAGGAGGTAAAGTAATAAGGTGGGAGGAGGCAATCTGCCAATTAATACATATGTGACCATGGGCATGTTAACTGCTCTGTGCTCACTGGGTCTTTGTTTATAAAATCTAATGTATTTAAACTGCCTAGTACAATCTACATGAACTGAGTGTTAAAGAATGGCCAGGTGGTTATGAGTGAAAAATGATTCAGGTGACAGAACTAATACAGGCTAGAGATGGGAATGCTTTGAGTAGTAGAGATATAAATCTTTAAAAAACTTTGGCACACACAAAAAGAAAAAGAAGTTCACATGTAATTTTATACTTTTCTATAAATTTGTATAGTAGCAAACTTGTTTTTTCCTGCTGCATGGAAAAGTAACTTTCATTCAGTATTCCCTGCTTCTCTTCATCTTGACTCAGGTTATAATGGAAAAGTTACTCTTTCAACAGTGCAAAGGTTCTTTGGAAAAGAAACAGAGCAGTGTCAATAATTCAAAGTCACAAAGTCAATTATAGCACGCTGTTTATGTGTTTACAAAGACGATACCTCAATAGATTGATTTCACCCCACAAATAAAAAAAGAGCGTTTATTAAGACAAAGAGGAAAGAGGGAGAGAAAAATAATTGCTCTCTGCTGTGTGAATCTTGTTTGCATATTTCTTATGGGATAACTGATTAGCTGGCAGGCAGTAAAGAGGTCATTCTGGACACATTGTCCTTGGGTAGGCTGACTAGGCATACAAAAAATCCTGCAAGGCAGGCTGTTTCTCCGTATTGTCTGCCAGTGACCTTTCATCAGTACTTTATCTTAGTTGAACCAGAACTACACTCCTTCCCTCGCTAGAAGTCTCAGTATATATGATGTATTCCTCTAAGAGGAATCCTTTTTCTCTAAATCTGTACTTCTGAGCCTGTATTTGAAAGTGATCATAATCTGGGGGGCTTAAAATGGAGTTTCTTTTACAAAGAGTTATAATCATAACCGTTTATTTGAATATAAATTTGACATTAAACATAAATATGCAAAATTTAAATTTCCCTTTGGTCTTGCATTTTTCTAAGGATTAACACCATTATTCTCACACTCCAACAAACTAATATATTGTACTGATAATCACTATCAAATGAATTGTAAGAGCTAACTGACTCGAATAGACAATAACTAACCTTACTTTTAAAGTATTTTAAGAGACAGTAGCATAGATGCCTGCACATAGCTGATTATTGCTCCTGTGCTGCAGTGAATTACCACATGAACACATTTTGAAAAGATTTGTTAGCTTCATGTCCACAGGCATTATGAAGCAGGAACCACTTTTAGATTAAGATTGTAACCTGAGGAAAAGAACATATGCATCAGTTTAGAAATTAAAATCCCCTGAGATATTTCTTTCAGTAATGCTTAAAAGCCTAAATTTGTGCTCGTGTGCCAGTCACCTCTACGTAAGGAAAAACATTTTGCTACTCTTTGTTAAAAGTGAAGAGGAAATATTGTCCACTTGTTTTGTAGATGTTGGCCAAATTATATAAACTTTAAAATCTGTAAGACAAATTGAAATATTCCTTTATTATGTCTTGTTAGGATGAGAGAAGTTTGCCTTTCAGCTGCTCCTTAATTTTAAAAATAACAACACAGCAACACTTCTCTTTAAAATCAAACTCTGCTCATTTAAATTCTTTGGTAATAGCCATGAATCCACACCTTAAAAGAAGGAAGGCCTGTGAGTTCGTGAATCCACTTTCCTACTCAGGAGAAGCCCTATGAACTGACTTGAATAGACAGTAACTCACCTTAAAGTAAATATTTTCAGAAACAATAGGTTAGGTGCCTTAGAAATTCATTCAGAGGCTTAGAAATCCACATTAACACAGTTCTTACATGCTTGAGTCTGGTCTACATCCATTTACGTAAGTAAAACTCCCCTTCCAGACTGACGAAATTCTTTTTGTGACAAGAAGACAAAGGAATACGATGGATTGATAAGCGTAGTCAACCGCGCAGAGAGTTCTCGCGCGATGTTACGACGCTACCGCCCTGACATCACCAGTTGCCATGGTAGCACCGCCGAGAGTAAAGGAGGGGTGGTGCTAGACGTTTCGGGCAGAGCTCGGCCGCTGCGGAGGACAAGGAACTCTCCCTCTCCCACTAGTCTGACTTCTTCCAAAATGAGCGGCCTGGATGGGGGCAACAAGCTCCCTCTCGCCCAAACCGGCGGCCTGGCTGCTCCCGACCATGCCTCAGGAGATCCGGACCGAGACCAGTGCCAAGGGCTCCGTGAAGAAACCGAGGCGACACAGGTGATGGCGAACACAGGTGGGGGCAGCCTGGAGACCGTTGCGGAGGGGGGTGCATCCCAGGATCCTGTCGACTGTGGCCCCGCGCTCCGCGTCCCAGTTGCCGGGAGTCGCGGCGGTGCAGCGACCAAAGCCGGGCAGGAGGATGCTCCACCTTCTACGAAAGGTCTGGAAGCAGCCTCTGCCGCCGAGGCTGCTGACAGCAGCCAGAAAAATGGCTGTCAGCTTGGAGAGCCCCGTGGCCCTGCTGGGCAGAAGGCTCTAGAAGCCTGTGGCGCAGGGGGCTTGGGGTCTCAGATGATACCGGGGAAGAAGGCCAAGGAAGTGACGACTAAAAAACGCGCCATCTCGGCAGCAGTGGAAAAGGAGGGAGAAGCAGGGGCGGCGATGGAGGAAAAGAAGGTAGTGCAGAAGGAAAAAAAGGTGGCAGGAGGGGTGAAAGAGGAGACACGGCCCAGGGCCCCGAAGATCAATAACTGCATGGACTCACTGGAGGCCATCGATCAAGAGTTGTCAAACGTAAATGCCCAGGCTGACAGGGCCTTCCTTCAGCTTGAGCGCAAGTTTGGCCGCATGCGAAGGCTCCACATGCAGCGCAGAAGTTTCATTATCCAGAATATCCCAGGTTTCTGGGTTACTGCCTTTCGAAACCACCCCCAGCTGTCACCTATGATCAGTGGCCAAGATGAAGACATGCTGAGGTACATGATCAATTTGGAGGTGGAGGAGCTTAAACACCCCAGAGCAGGCTGCAAATTCAAGTTCATCTTTCAGGGCAACCCCTACTTCCGAAATGAGGGGCTTGTCAAGGAATATGAACGCAGATCCTCTGGCCGGGTGGTGTCTCTTTCCACTCCAATCCGCTGGCACCGAGGCCAAGACCCCCAGGCTCATATCCACAGAAACCGGGAAGGGAACACTATCCCTAGTTTCTTCAACTGGTTTTCAGACCACAGCCTTCTAGAATTCGACAGAATTGCAGAGATTATCAAAGGAGAACTGTGGCCCAATCCCCTACAATACTACCTGATGGGTGAAGGGCCCCGTAGAGGAATTCGAGGCCCACCAAGGCAGCCAGTGGAGAGCGCCAGATCCTTCAGGTTCCAGTCTGGCTAATCTCTGTCCTGTGAGAAGCTTCTGCACAAGTTTCCTTACCACCTCCTCTTGGACCTATGCTTGGCCAACAGCATGCAGTCTTCCATCTGCTTTCTCTTCATACTGTGGATTATCTTTTCCTTTGGTTCTAAATCTTCAGTAATCGGTTGCAAGATTGTTGGCTTACCTGCCTGTGCCATTCTTCCTCTGGGCCTTCATGCTTTTCTGCATTGTGTTAACATGTTTCAAGTGCATGGCCTTCTACGGCTTCTATGCCAAGCGTATGATACTATAGATATAGTGTACCATACTGCCTTTCTTTGCATGGCTTGGACCCTATCTGTGACCATGCTCTTCTCCCAATTTAAGTGGTTCTGTACCACAAAGAATCTTGATACATTTTCACAAATAACTGATTGGGCTTCATACTTTATGCTGGCTGTGTCCTGATACCCATGTACTTATGGTAAGCTATTTGGGTATTACCACTGCAAGACAAAACTGATATCTTAACCCGGCCATCAACCCAAATTGGACATTCCAGACTACCACCAACTGGATCCCAGCTGCCTTCCTGGGCTTGTGCCATCCACCCTACTGGTTATCTGATAGAACAAGCTGGTGGCTGATGGGTGACTGCTAGGCGTGACTGAGGTAATAGATGAAAAGTGTTCTATGTTATCACATTGGTTTTCCTGTACCTTTGGTTACTCTACGTCATGACCAGCTGCTGGTGAGTATGAAGCCTGTGCTATAGCCCACCCCTACTCACTCTCACCTTCTGGTTGAACTTTGCTTAGGCCACCATTGTCTGCCTCATCAGGAACTATCTGTAGACGTAGCTCCCAGGGAGCTCACAGCAACACCCCCTACCACCAGGATGGGCAGTAATATGTGACAGAGCCCAAAGCAAGGCTGGAACGCAGTCCCTTCCAGCTTAGTCTTTCTGACTCCTAGCCAACAAACCATCCTTAATGTGAGCAACTTCTTTAGGCATTTCCTCTTTTCCCCGCCTGCACCCACTCTGAACATGACAAAAGTTGCCAGAGTTGGGGCATTGAGGAAGAGATATTTCTGGAATGTGAGACTTGTTATGCCTCTGTCTCTTTCTCTCCCTCCTCCTCCCCTCTCCCTCCCCCTCTCCCTCCCATCCCTTTTCTTCCCTTTCACTCTGAAGCAGTTTTAGCTTATTAACAGAAAACAAAACTGGCAAAGCAGGCTTTTTGTTTAATTTGCTCTTTCCCTGATTGTGTTCAGAGAGAAAGGTTATGATTAAATGGGCTCCAGATCTCTTATTGCCCTTATTCCTCCACCCCACTTCTTTTAGCAAGGTCTGAAAGTTTCAAAGGGAGACCTATAGGTTAATTGTTTAGTTATAGGCAGTGTTAAATTAGGCAGATTTTGACATATTTATCTTTTTACCCCATCCATTCTACCAAAACCTGTGTATTTCTTGAGTTTTTAGTTTGAGAAGCTGGAAAGAGAGAGAAGGGCCTCACAGTGATGGGTTCAGGACGGGTCAAAGGCAAAGGCCTTTGTGATGTGAGCAAAGGCAACCAAAACTTAGCCTCACTCCACTTTTCTAAAGATGGAAATTCTTTTTTGGGCCTTGGACTGCTTCTAGGGTAGCATTTTGTAGGTCACTCTTCTCCTTTGTACTATTTTGTTTCTGCCCTGATGTCCCTTGGGTCTCCATCCTACTGCCTGGCTTTCTTGGCCCTCATTTCTCAGCTTCTGCATTTCCTTCCCTGCTCCTAACAAATGAAGAAGCAGGCTGCAGCCTGCATTGTGGAAGATCTCCAGCCTCCTTGTAGGGGATAAGGGGATGTGCAGCATCTGTGTGGATTTTCACGGACAAGTTCCAGTAGGTGGGACAGTGATGCCGTCAAGGCTTAGTTATGATCATGTGTGGTGATAAAGACCATCCACCATCACCCTTTTCCCCTTTGGTTTTGAAGGCCTTGCCCTAAGCTACCTGAGGGTTTAGGAGGTCTGAACACACACAGTGGAGAGGTTAATCTAGGTTGGGAAACTGAGTAAAAGTCCAGAGCAGGAATGAGCCTGCTGTGGCGTGGGTTTGGAAAGGCTCACAGGAAAGAACCTGCAGGATCAGGGGTGGGAGGGGAGGCCCCTGAGGTGCTCTCCAGGGAAGAGGGGCTGGGGTTTAAATAGCATGCTTGGAGGAAGATTTTCCTTCAATTTTTCCTAAGTCCTTGAATTCACCAGTAGATTTTTGTAAACAAAATGTAAGTCGATGTTTTCTCTCAATTATCCTAGGAGTGACCTTTATATGTGTGGAAGATTAATGGTATATGCTCCTTATGTCACTGTTTTTGAGTAAAATCCATTTCCTTTCTCTGTTTCAGCCTATGACAAAATTGATGTTTACAGGCCTGCTTTTTGCTTATAATTGACAACATGTGCAAAAATACCAAATTTGTGTCCTGTGCAGTATGAAGAATTCAGTGAATATTCATTAATGTATTAGCTTGTTTTGCTCTCTGTTCATATATGGCTCTATTCTTAGAAATATAATTTGAATGTGATCTTTCAATAGTCTGAATATTTTACAAATTATAGCTATGTCTTGTGAAAATAACCTCAAAAAGAAAAATACGACTCTGTTGTCTTACTTGATATTTCTTGCCCTAGTAATGTACTTGACATTTATGTTCCTAAGCAGTGTAAGTACCAGTAGAATTTCTCTGTCAAACTCAATGATCATTTAGTACTTTTGTCTTCTCCCATGTGCTTGAAGGAAAAATAAAGTGTCACTACCGTATTTCTTGTTTTCATCAAAAAATAAAAATAATTTAAAAAATTCTGTGTTGTCTAGGTTAATTTAAGGTTGGGAAATCATTAAAGTTATCAAATGATACCAGTAACTATCATCCTGAAAGTTTAAAAAAAAAAAAAAGGCAACAGCCACCAAACCTTCCAAGATTTTTCACCTGAAAAATGGTAAATGGGAGCCCAACTGCAACTGCATACTCATGAGCATTATTTTTTCTACATAACCAGTGCAGTTTTTGGTGGTAATTGAAGCACCATATAGTATCACTTAAAATACTGTTTTCAGTGGAAAACTTGTCTATGCAGCATCCTTGTTCATTACATTTATTATTAACTGTGCCTTCCGAGATCTAATAAGCTTAAGATAGACTTTTGGAAGAATTAATTATTGTGTATTCTGTCAGTGCTACTTAACATTCTTTTCTTACACCAATGTGTGGCTTTAAAAAGAATACCAAGAAAATATGAAATAAAATGTCTAGAGACAAATGATATCAGGTATCACAACTTTAATTACCGGTAATGATAGTTTTGCTGTATAGCAGCAATTACATGAAAGTTTATTGGATAAATACCTCTGCATTCTCTGCAGTAAGGAGGGCTTTGTGGATGCTACAAAATCTATGAAAATGAATTGCTAAGTATTTGTAGCCATCTAAGCAAAAATTTGACAAAAATGGCCCAAAATTTCTCATTTGAGTTAGAAACTTAATTAAACATACAGTTAAAATAGATGCTGACTCTTGGTGCAATTATTACTTGCAATTTCTTGCTGAGGTATTTTTTTCTAGGGCTAGAGAACTTTAAGTATTAGAGAGCTAGGTTTTCTTTTGCAAGCTCTACATCCATCTTAATCCTAAATTCCTCTAACAATGTTCATTTTACCTTTTCAGTTCAGTGATTGATTTCTGCATTGTCAGCCACCTGTTTCAAGCTTTATTATACCTTTTCTATGCCTGTTCTGGATGTAATCAGAAAATGTCATTTTTCCTACACTTGGTTTATTATCTGCTTTAGTCTAACCAATAGCATTCACTGTAATAGGCTGGCGCCACTTATTTGTTACAGATTAGCATGGTTTCTGTTCTGTTTAGCCTAATAAAATTAGTCATTAAATTACTCAATTAGGCATCTTACAGGTTTCACTTACCAACCAATTGGTTCACTGCTATAGCCCTGCTCCATTTCTTTGTATTGCTTTTCCTTCCTTAATTCTAGACCCCAATTATTCTTTATGTGGACCTCCAAACCAGTTAAGAAGTTCTCCCATCCTCTGGTCACCTAAGAAGTATCATTTTAGTTTCTCAGGCCATAATCCCTGTGAGTAGTGGTGACACTGCATAATTACCCTGGTCCTCACACAACACTTTCCTTGCGCTTCCATTTCTGGGCATTCAGTGCAAGCCAGACACTTATAAAAGGCTTCTCTGACCTTCTCATCAGGCCCTTCTCCCCATTACTCCTCGTGCTGCTGCTTTATCTCCAGTTAACTCAACGTCCTTAAATGTTTTCATCATTAACAAACAAAAACCAAAACAAACCCTTGCCTATATTTTTAATTACTGAGTCCCTGTCCTAGAGAATCACAATTTAAGACATGGATATTTGATCTTGTTTCAGTTACTTATTCCCTGGCTTCACAATCTCCTCAAAAGATCTGAGATATGTCAGGCACTTCGAAGTGCACATATTACTTTGATAATCCTTGTAACACAAGTTTTATTATTTCCATTTAAATAGTTGAGAAAACAGAGGTCCAGAAAGTAGAACTGCCTAAGATGCAAGTCTCACTGTTGAGTTTTCTGATTTCAAGCTAGCATAACTTCTACTCTATCACAGCTATCGTAATAAATTTGGCATACAAATGTTAACAAAAACCCTACTGACACATGACTATTCAGGCCTCAGTTGAAGGTTATGCTTATTCATGAATAGCCTTTGAGAAGGGTACATTTTATCACTTGATTTAATACAGGACTCCATACAGTTACAGATTGACACATTTGAATTTACTTATGTAACCTTGATGTTTGCTGCACATGAATGAAATTATCAGTTTGTTCCCTTCATCAAAGGCACTGAATATTTAATGTACCAAAAAGACATTAAACGTTATACTCATGGAATTTAGCTGCTAAGCATTGTAAGTAACCGCTGACATTTCTGTTAAGAGAATATTTATTTTTTAAGTGATTAAACTTGGTGATTGCTTTTAACACATTTAGATAGTAATTTATTCCTTTTCTTTATTAAACTTTGTTAAGCTTTATTCAACTTTGATCTTTACCAAGGAAACAACATGACCAAAGTACCAAAAAAAGTAAAATAAACTTGTTTTTTGAAAAGAGTCTGTGAACAGGTACATGGTACAACAAACTGATTGGCAAGCAGTCTATGTACTTTTCCAGTTGTCATTCTAAGTAATGACCCAACTTCTCTATAGGCCCAGATATACTATTTCCCACTAAGCTTACTCAAAGATGAGTTTTCATCACTCCTTCCCCATTTTGGTTACTTCAGCACCAGTGAGGGAAATTTACCAAGCAGTCAAGGTGAACATTAACCCAGAATATGAAGAAAGAGTAGGCCTGCTTACTGATGACCTTGACATGTGTGGCTTCCAAGAGGAACAGACTCATTATATGCTTTAGGACTCCTGATTCTTGGATCTCTATTTTACTTTCCTAGGTAAGTTTTATATTACAGATATTTAATATATTTGGCTAAATTATGAATTACTTAAAGATAGAGGCTGTGTCTTCAATGTTAATCCCTCTCATGTCCTAGCACGACATTATTGCTAAATTGAAGTGTGGTTTTGGGCTGAGAATTTGCCCTAGTCTAGATTCAATATTGGAAGACATTATGTATCAAGTAATTAAAAGTGTGATTTTGAGGATCAAACTTGGGTTCATGTATTGCTCTCTTACTAACAGTGTAACACAGAGCAAGCATTGTATTTAATCTCTCTGAATTTCAATTTTCCCATCTGTACAATTTAATAATTATATACATCTCATATGGTTGCTATAGAGAGTAAACAAGATAATGTACATGAAGTAGCCTAGTGAGGCTACTCATGACCACTGTTTTACTATTATTTCTGAGGATAGTTCTAGAGACCAACAAGAGACACCTTTCTGAATTCATTCTATGTGGACTGGACCATGCCCAGGGATTTTCAAGGGTGGCAATAAGACCATACTGGGTGAATTACTTGGTATGCCCTCATGGCTTTAATAAAAGCAGTCAAGTGTATTCCAGTCTTGCACCAATCTGGAACTAACTCTTATGATAGTCTTCTTGTACTCAAGAGGCTGAAAAGATGTAAGGGACTGTTACTCCAACACTGAAGATTTTAAAAAGCTATCCATGTATTTCCAACAGTCAGTGAAGGTTATTATATCTAGAGAGGCAGTTTGATTTTCCATTTTATGCTGATTTGTTATATAAAATAATTATATAAATTTATTTTCATTCAAACCAGTTCACTAAAAGTGTGTGTGTGTGTGTGTGTGTGTGTATTTAAAGTTATTTTTGGATATGAATATTGGTGGGGAAATAATACTTGATTTCAGTTTAGAGTTTAACAAACTCAGAAGTTGATTTTAGATTGTAATTCATGGTTCAGATAAAGTTTTTACTACCTCAGTATTCCAAATACCAGATTCTGACAAAACATTTGGTCACTGAGTCATTCAGATCTTTCCTCTGCTGATGCGATAAACAGTGGCCAGCAAAGAAAACCTCCGCTCGCTTACATCTATTTTTAGGTGTCCTTTAGATTATGAATGTTTGCCTGTATGCGAATATTACATGTCTTCTGTCCATTTATACAATTTTTTTGCTTCATATAACTTCTTTAATATTTTCTTTTTAATTTTTATGGATTTGGATTATTTTTAATCTTCATATCCATTGGCACTCTTTACAAAGAATGAAAATACAAATTTAAAAAGCCTAATTATAGTCTTTCTAATTACAGAAAAAAAACATTCATTAGAAGAAATACTGACTGCTAGAAAGGAAGGAAATTTAGAAATAAACTAAACTTTTCCTTTCATAAGATGGAAAAAACTGAAGCCAAATTTGGTGGTAACTTGTTCAGGGTCTTTAGGTGGAATGATAAAGGGAATACTAGAACTTCTGACAACTGAATTCTGCCTCCTGAACCCCCGCCACTACTCAAGTGGCCCAAAAAGTGCAGTTATTTCTTATTTTGGACTTCTCATTTTTCATATTAACAGTAGTTCATAAGCATTTAAAGATGTATTATTTGCCATTTACAGAGTAAACATGGATAAGGAAAGATAGCTTTATTTTTAAAAGAAATAAATTCTCTATTTAAAGCATACATGAGATAGTATCTTTCATTTAGTCCTAAGCTTGATTATTTATGCTCATTGTAATATTCCAGTGACATTCTGGACATAAATTTCAAGTATATCACCATATACTTATTGTTAAATATCAAACAAAGCTACTGACTGTGAGGGAAAAATTTCAGTGATTTTTTTTGTTTGTTTTTTTGTTACTTACCCTGAGATACTCATCCCACAGTATATCTGAGATTTAGCTGAACATTTACAAATTTTAACAAATTTTTTTTCTTTCCATTGCATGCATCGATATGCCAAATTCTGCACTTCAATCCAGGTAAAATAATGATAGTGTTTGTAAACCAGATAGTGAAAACCAGTGTGTTTTCTAATACTGCCCATGATAGACAGAGTGAAATCACAGCATAAACAGTAGCCAGGAACCTATACTGCAAACATTTGGCTTCAAGTATCTTGCAACAAATAGCTACTAATATGACCATACACGGCACATAGAACACCACAGTCCTGGATTGTAGCATGCCTGTAAAACCCATTAAAGCATTTTTTTCTCAAACTTTTTGTTCATTATTACCCTCCTTCCCAATTACAGAAATTAAATTCAAATTACATTAAATAGTTTTAACTACAAATTTCTTCCCAATGAGATAAATTAATACTAAGGAATAAGATTTTGTTGGATAGGATGATATTGGAAGTCCACAAGCCATATCTAATATTTTTTCACCCCAAGAACCAATTTTTGTCCCCAATTGAGAATGTAATGCTTAAAGTTGATTAAATAAATTAAATAGCCTTTAACATTATTAGAAAAAAACCTAGTGGGTAACAATGGAGGTTGAGATAGTTGACTTCTAGATCATCTTTTTTCCATACTTGCTGTATGAACAGAGAATAAGTCATGTCTTTTTATTTTCTTGTTTTGGAGAACACAGGAATAGCATAAAACCTCATAGCCTGCAAAAATCACTTAATCTCACTGGACTCAATGTTCTTGACTATTAATTGAAAGAACTGGTATAGATCAGTTGGTTTTCAATTCTGGTTGTACTTTCCTAGGGCATATAAAAGATAACAAAAGATAACAACGCTCAGCCATATTTACCCAGACCAATTAAGCCAAGTCTCTGGAGGATATGTTCTAGCCAGTGGGTCTCAAACTGTACTGTAAATCAGAATCACCTGACGGGCTTGTTAAACCAGATTGGTAGGCCTTACTCTCAGAGCTTCTGATTCAGCAGGTTTTGCGTGGGGCCTGCAAATATGCATTATCAAGTTCTCAGGTAATGCTATGCTATTAGTCTATGGATCACACTTTGAGAACCACTGGACTAGGCATATGTGTAAGAGTGACTGTGCGTGTGAGTGTGTGTCCCCAGGTGAATTCTAATCACAAAACTACTGTATAGAAAATATCAATAAGGTTCTAAGTTTTAGGATACTGAGATTTTAATATAATAAGAGTTGTTAAACATCAAGATGATTTATAGAAAGGAGACCTATGGACAAATATCAACTTATTGGTCAATAAAACTTGTTCCTTAAAGTCTTTTACAGTATTTTTTGAAAATTAACTTTTTTTTAACTGCATATATGGGTCTTCACTTCATTTTTCAGTAAAGACAACTTATTTGGATATCAGTGTCTCATCACTTGATAAGACCAGTGGAGGATTTGGATAGTAGCCAGCTGTTTTTGAATTGCTTGAAGAGAATCTTGTAAATTTGTAGTCCAGAGGTAATTCTGGGGAGGAAAAAAAAATTTAATTATTGCACAGGTCTCTGAATGCCTTTCATAAACAAATCAAAACTTGATATTCACTAATAAAACTTATTTTTTAGACGTAAAATTTTAATATTTCTTTTGCTCCTTCAGTAGGTCTGTGTGTAGCTATTATTATAAGGTTAAAAATGTGTATAAACCAACCACCATTGTAATACATATGGCTAATAAAGACAAACTTTTACAACAGCTATAAAAAAGGCTTCTAGGCATTTAAATGTGAATGAGATAACCATGTCTAACAGAATATCCACAAGTATAGAAACATTACTTGAATATAAAAAGGTTTTAAGAGGCAAAAGGGATGTACCAGGTTATTTTTCACTTCCTATCTCATTTAAAACAATTTAATTTTATTCTTTCTCCCATATTACAGAAAAGGTCTATCAAAGGTCACTTAGGATGAAGAGTTAGATATCTTTCTCTATGCAATTTATAATAATGTTTAAGTCAAATCACATTTAGAGATATCTCAAATCATCCCGAGCTCTATGTGAGTTTAATTTTAATACTCTGCACAGAAGTTAATACAAAAATATGAAAGCTTATCTGAATAAAAATTTAAAAAAAACTCCCAGGCCCTCCTCAGAGGATCATGTAAAACTGGTGAATGAGACCTAATAATCTTCTTCATAGTCACAGGATGAGGGTTACTAAGAATAATCTTCAAATGCTTAGCTAAATAAGAATTTTAATACATACAACATGGCAACTTTCTTCAATTTAAGGAAGAAGAATCGGAAGTTCAAAAAAATTAACTAGACTTCTAACTTCAACTGGAAAATCTGGATAAAATATAAACACGAGACTGAAGTGTCACCAGAGAGCTAAAGAGGCAACCAAGACTTGAGGCACAATTCTTGGGAAGGAGGAACCAGCGGAGAGAGGAGCTAACACTAAGCCTCAGCTTTTCTCCTCTGGTGCTGGAATTCTGGCTGGTGGTAAGGGCTACTACAAGCAGCAGAAAAACCAGTAGAGATTTTGACAGTCTTGCAGGGCTGCAGAGACAAAAATTGAGGGGCTAGGACCACTGTAAAGGAAGGGTCAGAGAACTGGACTCTGCTGGTTGTCTCCTCAAACCCTTTGCCAAATGCTGAAGGAAATTTGCAAACTAAGAATCCAAGCGGAAAGCATATGCCTCTATAAAGGAGAGTGGATGTTTTCTTTTTTAGGCATTTTCTTGGTATTGTGAAAATGGAAAGATTAAATTCTGACCTGAGAGAGGAGAGGGGACTTTGTGAGTATCTTAGACTGGCAGTTATATAGTTCTGAGAACTAGGAGTTTATAATTATGAAGTGATCTCTCTCATGCTAATCATTTTTCCCCTTAATATCTACTTTGTTTCATATTAATGCAGCCACTCTCTCTCTCTCTTTTTTTTTTTTTGGTTACTGTTAGCATGGTATTATTTCGTCCGTCTTTTGATATTTAAACTTTCAAACTTTCTGAATCCTTAT
Source organism: Homo sapiens (assembly GCF_000001405.40). NCBI lineage: Eukaryota > Metazoa > Chordata > Mammalia > Primates > Hominidae > Homo > Homo sapiens. Next base: position 116,242,411 of record NC_000006.12, on the reverse strand, counting down.
GTCTCAGATATATCTCTTATAAACAACTTATAATTGGGTATTGTTATTTTTATTTTTTTATTTTTATTTTGAGACAAGAGTCTTGCTCTGTTGCCCAGGCTGGAGTGCAGTGGCGCAATCTCCGCCTCCCGGGTTCACGCCATTCTCCTACCTCAGCCTCCCACAGGCGCCCGCCACCATACCCGGCTAATTTTTTGTATTTTTTAGTAGAGATGGGGTTTCACCGTGTTAGCCAAGATGGTCTCGATCTCCTGACCTCGTGATCCGCCCGCCTCCGCCTCCCAAAGTGCAAGGATTACAAGGCGTTGAGCTACCGTGCCCTGCCGGGTATTGTTATTTTTTTAAAATTGGCTATTAATTGGAGTATTTGGTCACATACATTTAATGTAATTACTTCAGGTTTAAATTAAACATTTTACTAAATGCTTTCCATTTGTCTTGCTGATTCTTTGTTTTTTTTTTTTTTTGTTTTGTTTTTTTTTTTTTTTTGAGACGGAGTCTTGCTCTGTCACCCAGGCTGGAGTGCAGTGGCGCGATCTCGGCTCACTGCAAGCTCCGCCCCCCGGGTTCATGCCATTCTCCTGCCTCGGCCTCCTGAGTAGCTGGGACTACAGGCGCCCGCCACCACGCCTGGCTAATTTTTTGTATTTTTGGTAGAGACGGGGTTTCACCGTGTTAGCCAGGATGGTCTTGATCTCCTGACCTGGTGATCCTCCCGCCTCGGCCTCCCAAAGTGCTGGGATTACAGGCGTGAGCCACCGCACCCGGCCGTCTTGCTGATTCTTAATATTCTCTCATCTCCTTTGTTTTCTTTTAGATTCTTAAATTATTTTACATATTAGCTTGGTATATGTATATCATCACAATTCTCTTGAGAGTTATTTTTGAGATTACAACATGCATTTCTGACATCAATACTGAACATAGTCTTATCCTTAATTGTTTAATTCTAGCATGTTAGAACATGTTAATTTTTGCTGCCCCACTCTGGCATATATATGCCATTACTGTCAGGCATTTTAATTCTCTATGTAAATCCCATGGGACTTTAATTTTTATTGTTTCAAACAGTAAGCATTCATTTTTTATTCATATACTTACACCATATACTTATATACATTCTTCTTGCATCTCCAGTCTTCTGACATGAATTATTTTTAATTGTACCTGGAGAATAATAATCTTTATTTCCTTTAGTGCAGGTTTCTGGACATACATTTTCTCTATTATTCCCTGTCTAAAAATATTTTACTTTTTTTTTTTTTTTTTTGAGACAGTCTTGCTCTGTTACCCAGGCTGGAGTGCAGTGGTGTGATCTCAGCTCACTGCAACCTCTGCCTCCCAGGTTCAAGCAATTCTCCTGCCTCAACCTCCAGAGTAGCTGGGATTACAGGCACCTGCTACCACACCCGGCTAATTTTTGTACTTTTAGTAGAGACGGGGTTTCACCATGTTGGCCAGACTGGTCTCAAACTCCTGACTTCAGGTGATCCGCCCACCTCGGCCTCCCAAAGTGCTGGGATTACAGGCGTGAGCCACCACATCCGGCCAATATTTTACTTTTATTCTTTACAATGTTTAACTGGGTATATAATTCCATCAAGATTCACATCATTTTCTTTCAGCAATTTAAAGCTATCATTCTATTGTCTTTGACTCTCCTCTGTTTCTGATAAGTCAGATGTCAATCTGTTATTTAATCTATATTTATGCTCTTGATTGCTTTTAATATTTAATTATCTTTGGCATTTAGCAGTTAACTCTGAATTTATTTTTTCTTCATTTTGTTTCATTTCTTTGGGCTTCTTAAACCTTTGGCTTATTTTTTTCCCCATCATTTTCTCTCATCTCACTTATTCTCTCATCTCCTGGGACTCCAATCACAGATGCCCCTCAGTAACTGCAGGGGACCCCTGTGGATACCAAAGCCTGTGCATGCTCAAGTCAGAAAATGGCATAATATTTGCATTAAACCTACATACATCTTCCTGTATACTTTAATTCATCACTAGATTACTTAATATCCAATACAATGTAAATGCTATGTAAATAGTTATTATACTATATTTTTAAAAATTTGTAACATTTTAAATTGTTGTATTGTTTTATTATTTTTTTCCTCTGAATAATTTTTATCCACAATTGGTTGAATCCGAAAATGTGAAACCCAAGAATACAGAAGGAAGATAACATCATTCTAGGACTCAAATTATTTCTAAAAACAATTCACATAAAATTCAGTGCATATCTTACCTGAAATCTTACTCCTTCTCACTATATCTTTTATGTCTCAGCCTCTCTTCTGTATCTTTTATGATTTTTCTCTTACTGCTTCATTCCAAATATGTTCTTTTGACCTAATTTCCAGTGCACTGACTTTTCATCTGTGTCTAATTCGCTGTTAAATCCATCTGTTAAGTTCTTAATTTCATTTTTTAAATATTTAAATTCTACAATCTCCATTCTTTTTATACCACAGTTTATACAATAGTTTTTGTCTCTACCAAATTTCTCATTCCTTCCTTTTCTGTATTTGACTATAATTAACATGGTTATTTCTGTTAGTGTGGTCTCATATCTTTATGTGCCCGGCTATTTTTCATTATGCACTGAATTTTATATGAATTGTTTTTAGAAATAATTTGAGTCCTAGAATGATGTTATCTTCCTCAAAAGAGAATCTATATTTGTTTCTACCAGGTGTGCAGGGGCACTAATAATCTGAAATCTCCTCAATCCAATTTTAGGTATTTAGCTGATTTCAAGCTGAGTTTTAGTCCCTGTGAAAATGGAGATTTCTTCTCAATTCATCCTTATTCTAAAGTAAAGCCCTTCAAGGCCTCAACATAGATTGAGGGAGTTCACCAGACCCACCCTCCTTAGGCAGGCCCTCTCCTCCAGTTCCTATTCCTGTAGATTCATGAAGTTACTGAAAGGCCCACTCACCCTCTGTGGTGCCGCCTCCGGAATCAGCAAATACCCAGGGGGAAAAGCAGCCTCAAATGCCAGGTTCACCTTACTGGGCCTCCTCAGCAGCTTGTCCTGGTAACTCTTTCCCTAATTTTATAATATGCCTCCAAGCTGACTTAAAAAAAAAATTGTTGAGCTTTTGTAGTTGCCTCCCACAGAAGTGCTGGTCCTAATTACCTAGGTTCCATATCTAGAAGATTTTTCCCCAAAGATAAATCAATGTTGTGGCAACATTTCTTTTTCTTAAAGACAAGAATTCTAGTACTGGTCATTATTGTCTAGTAACAGGTGAAGCTTTATAGGTATTTTCCCCCTTACCTGCGATTGCTTCAATACTTGGAATTGCAATAGTGCTGTAAGTACTGATTCTCTTACAAGACCATGTATAAACCAAGGAGTCTTCTGTATTTTCCAGTCCCAAAACTGAATCAATAAAAAAAGAGCCCCATTTTTTAGATGAAGTATTTAAAGGTTTTGCTTTTGGTCCCTGAAACAAGAGAACAGAATAATTAAAATGGTGATTAACTAATGTTCAATCTCATAATTTTTTTGTCTATTAAGTAAATAAAAACTTTGAAACCCTGTAGGAATCTACAAATAGGCTTTGGGCCCACATTAAATTTTTGGAACAGGAATAATATTTCCTCCTTATTATGAAGTATCCTTTATTTTAAACACAAACTAGCTTTTTATATGGTCAATTGGTTATTATCTGAAAACTAGCCCAAACAAAGCAACCTAGAAAACATAATTTTTTCCCTATAATAAAAATAACTCTCTATTCTATTATGATGATGATGATGTCTAAAGGGTAGTTAAAAAACAACTTGGTCTAATTTTCATATTTAGTATTTATTTTTTAGAAAGGAATGAGGATGGAATTATTATTTATTGCTTTCAATACAAATGGAACATGAAGTCAATAAAATTAATACAAAGTTTCAAATTATTAGTCTCTTTTTTTTTTTTTTTTTTTTAACATGATGGTATTCAGCCTGACCAGGACAATTTTGGAGTCAAGTAGTATAAAGATACTTTAGCTTTCAAACATAAATATTTGTCTTTCAAGGAAAGAGCTGCAGGGAACCCTTACCTCATATTTTCCTTTCTTCTCTAGAGGCTCTGACTCCTCAGGCCTCTGACTCCTCGTGCCTTCATCCCCTCTGAGTTCTTCCAGGATGAGGACTGTCTCCCAATTACTATAGTGACGAGCTGGGAAAATATCTGAATGCATGCTGTCACCAAAATAAACAACCTGTAAGACAGATAGCAGATGCTGTTTGAGGCACAGAATTGTGAAAGTGGCATTTATTTCATATAAGGAAGAAGAAAATTTCTCAACAGGCATCAGAGTATGACAATCAAAAATTGCATAAACATCTTCACTTATTTGAATAATCTCACAGGTGACCATCAACTTGTCTCATTTGATTCACAGGGTGCCAGATTTGTCTTAAGAAGTTATACAACACATTCACAGGTGGAAGACAGCATAAGGTGAAATAAGTGATTTTATTCAATTTTCCTAAAGAAGTGAACCTATATGTTTACATAGATGTTTACAATTATTAATAAAATGGCCCCTGCAGTTGAAGAGCTGGTGAGGTATTAGAGACAACTTGTTATAGTGGATTAGAGATTATTAAAAGTGCAAATCACAACCACTTTTCAAGTTTCTGGGCCCAACCCCAGACTGGTTGAAACAGAATCTGTGAGAGTGGGGCTGGGCATGTTGAATCTGGAAAGTTCCCTAGGTAGTCTGAGGCAATGGAGTCTGAGGACTCCATTGATTGAGTCCATACCTCTCAATTTTCAGATGTGAAAACAGAGTTAAGGGATATGAGAATCAGCATCTGCAAGTCAGACTGCTCCATCCATTAACCCTCAGGAGTCCCCAGGAGACTGTGGCATGGTGACAGCCAATGGAGCAGGGCTCTGTTACCCCACGATCTCTCAGCTCACAGAAATTCTGGTAAATATTTTCTTAGAAGAAAGGGTTCTGCTGTTAGAAATGCACCAATGTCCAACATCAACAATGTGATCATTCTGTCAAAAACAAGTGTATCTTTAAGCTAGTCTGTAGCATAATTTCAGTTGTTTGTTTTATATATGGAAACTTTTTGGATAGATTGTTATCAGGATAACATTCCACAGGCATCCTACACACTCATACACCCCCTAAATCTGTGGTGCCCTGCTTGGAATCCTTGCTCCTCTCTATCACAGATAGACAGCCTGTCTACATTGACAAAGGAAAGGCTTATTTAAGCAGAAGAATTAAGAGGAGAGATTTGGCAGTTCACAACTGCTTATGTCTGCAAGTGGGCACTGAGGACTTCTCCTCAACTGGGAAATACCTTGGGTTCAGGTTTGCCAGTCATTTTCTTCAGAAGTTCATAGAGGTGGACAGCGTTCCCTTGGGAGTACCAGCCAGGTTTATCCAGAGATGGCAGTGCCTCCTGCTCCTCATCATTCTCTGAAAATACAGTTTGACAATCATATACTTTTTAATCAAGTGAGAGTAGCCAGTTGGGCAGACCACACTTAGGGCATGGCTACAGGACATGTACAAACAAGAACCTTGTGGGGAAAGGAGCTGACATTCAGTGGTACCTACATATTATAAGGCCCTTATAGGTATATACTTTTTAATCCCGTGGCCTTCTTAATTGGGGAAAATAAGGTTCAAGGAAGTTATTTTGCCCAGGATCTCAATGCTGGTAAGTGATTTATTCAGTGATTAGACAGACATCTGCTTGACATCATGCCTCTGCTTGACATCATGCCCCTACTGCTACAAAACGGTTTACCAAATAAATAACACAATGAAAGTCATTAGGTGTTAATTTTTTAGAATTGAGGGTGAGGAAGGTAAGTTTTTAATTAGTAGTCTATCAGATTCAGATGTAAATTTTGCACCCTTGGTGCCTCAAATGCTTTACCCTAGTACCAGCTTGGGGTGGGTGGGGAATGAAAGGACTATCTGATGCCAAAGCACAAGTTTGTGGACCATTCCAAGTTGTCCTCTCCCAGCACATTACCTTCCTACTCCTGTTAAAGCAGGGCTAGTGAAAGAGGTAAATGTCTTTGCCTCTCTGAATTTTGCCGGCTATTCTATTACTTGTACGTGAGCTGAAAAGCTGAAGAGAATCTGCCTACCAGCATGATGATTAAGGAAGATTGAGTAAGGTTTTATGAAATACATGATATATCTATCAGCAGAGACTTTGGTAGCTGTTGATACAGCTTTGCAAATTGTATGGAGAAAAATAACCTCTTTTTTCTCACATCAACTGTATGATTTCTGATTTTAAAAAGGTTTATTCCCCCCACTTTTTTGGTCCTCTTTGCTGTGCCACTAAGAAGAATCTTATGAGATACAATCCTATGCTGGATACAGAGGTTGTGTATACAGAAGCTTATATAATTAGAAGGGTCCTCTTTAAGAGAACAAATACAGAATTAATACAAAATTACCATAGTCCCTGCTAGGATTTGGAAGAGATAAATGAGGGGGTCTTAAAGCTTAAGCTTCATTGGCTTTATTGTAAATCAACCCTGGAGTAGGACAGGCAGAAAACAAAGGGTTTAGAAAGGAGGCAAAGATGGTTATGCCAGTCATTAAAAATACATCTCTGGCAATGTTAGTACCTTTAACTAAGATCTAATTTTCCCTAAAGATACTATATGTAAAAGTCACAGACAACAACATTAAATCTCTGCTTAGTTTATAACAAAAAACATCTTGAATCTGGTACTAGAGAATTTAAGATTTACAAATTAAAGTTTGATCATTATAACTGAAATGAAATATAATTTATTCATTCTACTACAAAAATGAGTCAAATAATGTCACAATAATAAAGTGCATTTCTGCATAACCTCAGATATTTTAAACAAAATTCTAAAACTACATTTATAGATAATTACAGCCAAATCACAGCAGCTAGCAGCTTATGTTCAATAAATATTTATGCCTATCTAGCTGCCATTTCAGCAGTCATTTAAAAATTCTTCTGCAAAATCAAATGAAAATCCCACTATTCTTTAAAGAAAGAATAGATAGGAAGCCAAAATCATGTACTAGCCTAACATTAAAAGGGTCTAAGAAGATTCAGCATATTCCTGGAGAAACACAGTAAAAAGTGATCACTTCTCATGTCTGTTTATTTACTGAAATGTCTTACTACGCAAATAATGTGAATTTGATGGCAATTGGAAATGAATAATTTACAGAAATACTTCTGAAAAGACTCACAGTTGATATGTAGATATCTACTTTGCAAGGATAACGGGAAGAGAATCTTTCTACTACTTATGAAAAATTTAAAAAAATCCATAGTATTATAACTTCTTAAATGTTGAGACTCAGTAATCTAATAGGAAGCAAAAAAAAAAAAAAAAAACCCAAATCAAGTCAAAACAAAAAATTCACTTTATACAAACATTACCTCCCCTCCCTGTTTCCAGCCCCTATACTGGAGGCTGCCTTAAGGAATAATTAATTTACAAGGGCAGCTGAGGCTGCGGGTTTTGGCAGAGCCTCCACAGCTAGGAAGCTGCAAGACTCAGAGAATTATTAATTCCTGCAGTAGAGAGCCTGTTCGGACTGTGAAAGCCGCAGAACTGAGGTGGAAGCTGTACAGTACAGAGGAACAAACTCAGGAAAGTTTCAAGCACAGTGTTTATAAACCCAAATAAACACTTTTTACATTATTTAGATAGTACACTGTACTTCTTTGTAAGGTCAATCAAAAATAGTTACCTAAATCTCTATTTTTACATAATATTTAAAAATGTAGGCTGGGTGTGGTGGCTCACACCTGTAATCCCAACACTTTGGGAGTCTGAGGCAGGCAGACTGCTTGAGTCCAGGAGTTCAAGACCAGCCTGGTCAGCATGGTGAAACCACAGTCTCTTCAAAAACTACACAAATTCACTGGGTATGGGGTTGCACACCTGTAGTCCCAGCTACTTGAGAGGCTGAGGTGGGAGGATAGCTTCAGCCCGGAGAAAGAGGTTTCAGTGAGCCGAGATCATGTCACCACACTCCCCACTGGGTGACAGAAGTAGACCCTGTCTAAAAACAAACAACCCCCACCCCAACCCAAAAAACAGTGTCCTGCAAAGAGTACAATGAGGATATTCATTTTAAAAAGTATAATTAAAAATATGTTAGAAGGGCCAGGCATGGTGGCTCACACCTGTAATCCCAGCACTTTGGGAGGCTGAGGCAGGTGGATCACGAGGTCAGGAGTTCAAGACCAGCCTGGCCAGAATGGTGAAACCCTGTGCCTACCAAAAATACAAAAAATTAGCCGGGCATGGTGGTGCGTGCCTGTAGTCCCAGCTACTCGGGAGGCTGAAGCAGGAGAATTGCTTGAACCCAGGAGGTGGCGATTGCAGACTGGACTTCAGCCTGGATGACAGAATGAGATTCCGTCTCAAAAAAAAAAAAAAAAAACAGTTATAAGATATAGAAAGATAAACGTTAGAAGATATAGAAAAAAATAAAGAAGACAAAGGGGATAGATGGTGATGATAATTTGCTTCCACAGTTTTAAAATGGGGATAATAACAATGCTTACCTCACAGAGTGGTTGTGTAAATAAATTAATACAGATAAAAATGGAGCACATGGAAAAGTGTCTGCCACAAAGTAAGTGTTTAAGAAGTCTTAGCTATAATCCCTTCAATTTACAGGTGAATAAACTGATATCTGAAAAAGTTAAGGAATCTGCCCAAAGTCACTGAAATGTTATAGTAAGAGCCAGGACAAGAATGCACTTTGCCTCCTTATTCCAAAGGATTTCAAATTGGGGCTAGAAGACAAAGTAAGATGATACTCCCAGAGAGCATTTCCGAATTTGGATTCCTGGACCTGAATGTGTCCCATGGTATTGCCACAAACAGGAAACAACTAAAGCACAGAATAAACCTTTATCTGGCATCCCTGAGGACACCCGCAAACGAACAATTCTCACTTAGGATGGAGCCTCAGCCAACCTCCTATGGCATCTTTATATAAGGCTCAAATTTAGTGCTGTTACAATCTTCCATATATATTGAAAACAGGTCAGCAATGAATGAAGAAAAGAAGGAGGGCTTTAGAATGCCCTTTGAACTGAATTTTATAGTTTATTATTTTCACAATGTCCCTCAAATTCACTGATAAAAAACTTTATTTGATAAAACAGCAAACCTGTATTACTTTCCTAAAATTCCACTGTCCCAGCTTTAATTAAAGCAATCTTAACAGTTAGGTAAAATGTATTAATTGAAAACATTTTTCTATAAAAATATATTATTAGGACAATTTTCTATACCAAAGTTCTACAAGATATACAAATTATTCCTCAAACCCTTTAACTTAATCACTAATAGATGTTTGGGTTATAAAATAACTACAAAGGAGAAAACTCATAGGAGAACAAAGCTCAAATCTTTTCTTTTAGCCTACAAACTACCAAAAAACTGACCTAATGAAGTTAAGAAACAAATGAAGGTTGGATAAAGAGATGGAGGAGCCATCAATTTAGGCAAATAAATAAAACTAAAGCTGTCTTGGAAACTGTAATTTATTCCTAAATATAGCTATGTCTTACTACAATGAAGTAAATCTTTTTATTTTCTTATTGTAAGAACATATGGACAAGACGAGTTTAAAAAACAGTAAAGTTTTTGACAGTATAATAGTTACAAAGTAGATATGGGACAATGATACAGTCAAGGCTAGACTGACAGCCTTGAATAAAGCTAAGCAAAACTTACCACAGAGAGCAGAATCTGTGAGAAGTTTTGTAGGCCAGAAGCACTAACCTCAACTCACAGAGACTGCTGCCTCCCCTAAACTCCCCAAGTGCTTGGTGTCACTACTTTATTAATGTTTAAAAATATGCATTTATGAGATTTTTTTCTGAATCAGTAATATATTTACATGTTTTTTAAGTCTTATTTTTGAACTCTATCTGGTATGCACTCACCTCTTCTCCTCTTTTATGCATATAAAAGCAAATACGAATATGAGTATATTCTTTTCCTCCATGTTTTTACACATTTGTTGAGACATAATCAACATACAATAAATGGAATATATTTAAAGCATACAATTTGATGAGTTTCAGCATATGTATATACTTGTTATGGCCTGAATTATGTTTCTCCCCAAATCATAAGTTAAAATAATAACCCCTAGTATATCAGAATGTGACTATTTAGAGATGGAGCCTTTAAAGGCTGGATTAAATTAAAATGAGACTCTCAGGGTGGACCTAATCCAATAGTCTCCTTTTAAGAAGATGAGATTAGGACACAGATAGACACAGAGGAAAGACTATGTGAAGACACAGGCAGAAAACAACCATCTACAAACCAAGAAGAGAGAGGCCTTAGAAGAAACCAATCCTGCTACAACCTGGTTTCAGACTTCACAGCCTGCAGAACTGCAAAGAAATAAAATACATCGTTCAAGCTATCTAGTTTGTGGTATTTTGTTACGGCAGCCCTAGCAAACTAATATAATACTAATAATTTTAAAACGCTTTTAAATGCTATTATTAGAATAATCTGCATGAGGCTCTGCAACTTGCTATTTTTAAACTATTTTATAGCTAGCACAGTGTAATCTACCTCCTTTTAAAATATGTGCATTTCATTCTATTTTACACATGTTCTATTATTTATTTATTAATAATAGTCCTCTATAGATAGACATGTGGGTTGTTGCCAATGTTTTTCTGTTACAAGTAAAAAGTTACAAACATGAGAGGATCTGCACAGCCTGGTGGAGTCAAACAGAATCTGAGCTAGAAATACAATTCATTTTCTTTCTCGTCTCATTCTTCATTTTTACTATATTTCACAGACTGTTTTAGTCAGTAGGGATATAGCAGTGAATGAGATGGCTCAAGTCTCTGCCCTAAACATCTCTTCCCTAAGGATGCTTATATTCTGGTGGCAATCTCTGACTTGTTAGAGGTTACTAAATAATGAATTATGATTAAAAATATATTTACAATTTTTATTTCTAGGATTCCTTTCTGTATATATGTAAATTTGACCAAACAGTTCATATTTACTTTTATAAATCCCTTCCTCAATTCTGGGCTAGACTTTTTTTTCTCCAGTTGTTCATTTTCATACATACTTTCTCTGTTTCTTGGCATGGACAGGTAAGACATTTTTCAAGTAAAATGTCTAGTAAAATGCTTGTGTTGAGGGCTATAACAGGACAATTATACTATTAAAGAAAAAGTGTGATTCTTACTCTTATCTACTTTGGTTTGGGGGGGGGATTTACCATTCATTCATAGTTCTTTTTTTTTTTTTTTTTTTTGAGACGGAGTTTCGCTCTTATTGCCCAGGCTGGAGTGCAATGGCGCTATCTCGGCTCACTGCAACCTCTGCCTCCTGGGTTCAAGCGATTTTCCTGCCTCAGCCTCTGAGTAGCTGGAATTACAGGCACCTGCCACCACGCCCAGCTAATTTTTTGTACTTTTAGTGGAGATGGGGTTGACTAGTTCGCTGATGGATTCAGCCTCCTTCATTCGGGGAGCTGTTAATGTTGTTGGAATTGTGCTAAAGACAGAAAGATTCCTGCAGACAGCTGCACCCCTCAGCACTAACATCCGCTGACAAAGTTCAGCAGACAATTTCCCAACTGTAGCCAAGTGAAAGCACTAAACAATACAGAGAAGGAAACAGCTCTGACTGGAGCTGCAGAAGGAAGGTATCGCAAAGGAGGTGTGATTTGTATGTCTGACCTTAAATAAGAGGTAGGAAGTCACCAGAGAGGAAAGGGAGAAGGCATTCTACATATATCTATGCCACTCAAAGTGTGATCTTCCAACCAGTAGCATCTGCTTCACCAGACAAGTTATTTAGAAATGCAGAATCTAAGGTTTCACCAGGGCCTCTGAATCAGAATCTCCATTTTAACAAGATCTCTAGGTGATTCACGTGTACATGAAAGTCTGAGAAACACTGATGTTGACAGAATAGCGAGAACAAAAACTTGATATAAGAATAAAAGGCAATCATTTCAGTAGGAGTAAAGGGTACTTTTATGGAGATAGAGTTAAGGAAGATGGAAAGGTAATTTAGGAACAAGACTGTACAATTAGCCTTAGGATGCTATATGGAATGGAAGCCAATGAGATATTGTGTGCATGTGATTAAATATATTTGTGCCTAAGTAAATAATAAAAAAAGATGTGGGAAATTTTAAAGAACTCAAAAATAGAAGTCTGTGCTAATGAAAAGTGAAGAGAGGTTGGGGAGGGGTTAGATGGCCTAGTGGAAAGGGAGAGGAGGACAAAGATGAGAGATTTCCCAGGTATATTAAGCAGGATTTAATGCATAGCACACTGGAGGTAAAAGGGTGAAGACAACGGAGGTTATTAGCTGGAGAATTCTAATGGATGGTTAAGTAAAGAATACACACAAGGTGACCGGCATGTTTGGTTGTTTTTGGTTTCTAGGCGGAAGGAGAATCTCAAGCTTGATATCAGAACACTGAGTGGAGCTGCCTAGTGTGGAGGAGGAACTGCGTATGAGACTCAGGAAAACAGGTCTCAGGGAAAGATTTGGGAGTCAGAGTCAGTGTATTGGTGACAGCTAAGGCCAAGGGACGAGACAGAGAGAGAGAGAGGAGAGACAGAGAGAGTTGGCTCATGATTCTCCCAATGGTGGGCAGGGGCAGGAACTGAGCTAGCAGCATTGGCGACACTGCGGTGAACAAGGCTGACACGTTCCCTCTCCAATGATAATTTAATCTTGCAAGTCAGAGATTCCCCCGTATCCCCACCCTCAGCACTGGCGAGGATCTGGTGACGCACTGCACGTGATAGAGAACAGAGGATGAAGATTTTGCTTGGAAGACGCTTCTCCCCTCCATACATCCTTAAGCACTGGCAGGAATCAGACTGGAGGGAGGAGCTCAGTCCTGACTGACACTGGCATCAGCATCTTTGCCCCTGTTACCATGACAACCGCTGACGTCAAACCTGTGCGACTCGCTAAGGCCATGCTGTGTTTCGTGATTGGCTCGCTGTGCCTTCCATCCCAGCCAGCTCAGTTGCATTAACTTTACTTTAACCATTTGGAGCAATGACTTAAATATTGTGCCATTTCACACAAGGGATGATGCGGGCAGTGGTGGGAATGTAGTGAGGACAAACCTGAGAAAACAGAAGGACAACTTAAAAGGGAGGGAAGAAATGAGGATGACTGATTTTTTAGGTTAGTGCAAAAGTAATTGTGGTTTTTGCTTACTAGCTTGGTTAAAGTCTGTGCTTGGAAAAGTAACTAAAATGTAATTATGGAATATGGGAAGAGGGGCATGCTAAAATGGGATGGGGATTTAATGAGCTGTTGCAAGCACATCAACTTTCCTGCCACCCTGGGGCTGTGGGATGTGAAGATTTTAGAAGACAGATAGAAATGGGCTTCTGAAGGTCAGAGAAATGTGAAGCCCAGAGACAAGGAAATGTCAACCATCAGTATATAGATGATAGTTAAAAGCTTCCCAGTGGTAGAGAGCTGAAGGACAACAGGAGAAGAAAGGAGAGCCAAATACAGAATGTTAGGGAATATCAACATTAAAAGAGAAAGGTAGCAGAAATGGAGGTAAAGCAGTTAGAGGTAGCTGACGAATCAGAATCAGAATCAGCAGCAGAATAGACACATAATAGAGAATGTAATGAAGTAGGGATTTTAAAGTATGTGCAGTATAATCCTGTAATTAGTAATAGTTCTCGCAATCTTTTTTGCATTCTAAATAGAAAAAAGTATTTTGGTTTAATTCTAAAAAATATTTCTTCCACTGAAATATTTTAAATCAGAGGCCTAGAAAACAAGGGCTGGAAAGAACCTTAGACATCTAGCCCTCCTGGATGTGATAAAAATGAGCTAAACTTTTCTTCTTTTTTTTTTTGAGTCGGAGTTTCACTCTTGTTGCCCAGGCTGGAGTGCAATGGCGCGATCTTGGCTCACCGCAACCTCTGCCTCCCAGGTTCAAGCGATTCTCCTGCCTCAGCCTCTCTAGTAGCTGGGATTACAGGCATGTGCCACCATGCCCGCCTGATTTTATATTTTTAGTAGAGACGAGGTTTCTCCATGTTGGTCAGGCTGGTCTTGAACTCCTGACCTCAGGTGATTCGTCCGCCTCAGCCTCCCAAAGTGGTGGGATTACAGGCGTGAGCCACCGCTCCCGGCCAAAATGAGGTAAATTTTTCTAAATATCTGTACAAAAAGCATGAAATCCTATATACGCTGAGATTGCTAAGCACTTTACAGTCTTCATTACAGAGACTGGTAGGACTTTTGGTCCTGCTTCATCAATCCAGATTTTTCATCTCTAAAACCACAGAAGAGAATGAAACACAGTAGACTGCTAGTTAAAATGAAATTTTTATCAGACTTTCTGGCTATATCCCGAAATGCACAGACAACAAAAGCAAAAATAGATAAATGAGATTACATAATACTAAAAAGCTACGCAACCACAAAGAAAACAGTCAACAAAGTGAAAACAATCTGTAGAATGGTAGAAAATATTTGCAAACCATACATCTGATAAGGGGTTAATATCCAAACTATAAAAGGAACTCATCTCAATAGTAAGGAAACAAATAACCCAATTAAAAAAATGAGCAAAGGACCTGAATAGACATTTCTCAAAAAGATATACAAATGTCTAGCAGTTATACGAAAAAGTGCTCAACATCACTAAGCATTGGGGAAATACAAATTAAAACCATAATGAGATATCACCTCATACCTATTAGAATGGCTGTTATCAAAAAGACAAAAGATAAGTGTTAAAGAGCATGTGGAGAAAAGGGAATCCTTGTACATTCTTGGTGGGATTGTAAATTAGTTTAGCCATTACGGAAAAAAGTGTGGAGGTTCTTCAAAATAATTAAAAACAGAACTACCATATGATCCAGCAACTCCAATACTGAGTATATATGCAAAATGTATGAAATTGGTATGTTGAGCTATCTGCACTCCCATGTTCATTACAGCATTATTCACAAAAGATATGAAATCAACCGAAATGTCCATTAGCAGATTAAAGGATAAAGAAAATATGGTATATATACATAATGGAATACTATTTGACCTTAACAAGAAAGAAATCCTGTCATTTGTGACAACATGGATGAACCTGGAGGACACAATGTTAAGCAAAATAAGCCAGGCACAGAAAGACAAATACCATATGATCTCACTTACATTTGGAATGTAAAAAAGCCAAACTCATAGAATCAGAAAGTAAAATGGTGGTTATGTGAGGCTAGGGGTAGGGGTATTAGGAGATGTTGGTCAAAGGACACAAAATTTCAGGTAGGAGGAATAAATCCATAAATCCAAGAAATATATTGTACAAAATGCAGAGTTAAAAATAATATATTGTATATTTGAAATTTACTAAGAGAATAGATTTTAAGTGTTCTTACCACACACACAAAAAATGATAATGTGAGGTAATACCTATTTAAATAGTATCATTTAGCCATTCTACAATCTATATATATATCAAAATACCATGTTGTACAACATAAATATATAATTTTTACTTGTCAATTAAAAAATAAATGAAATACAAATTAGAGAAAGTAGAAATTAAAAAACTAAGTGTTTATACAACCCAAAATGTAAAACAATTTTTTAAAATGGTATATTTATTATCAGGATGTGCTTATTTTTAAAGTTTAGATTCCTAATATTTCCATACCATAAATTCAATCAAAAAGACTTTCAAGTCTTTTGATGAGTATAATATTTAAAAATATATAGTTTGGATAAACATCATTATTATGTCAGCCCTCAAATCCAATTGTACTATACAACTAACAGAAAATACTGCACAGAAGTCTTAAGATAGGTACTTCTAAAGTAATCGTTTTTTAAAAACTCCACCCTTTTTCTCAGGATACTCTCAATTAAATAGAGAAAAACTACATAAAATGCTGTAAATTGTCAGCATATTTAATGCATTTATAATTTCCAACATGTTAAAAAAAACTTGGTATATTTTTAACGTGCAGTTTTCCATTAATTGTATCTTTGTGTGAAATTTTAATAAAAATCTTATGGAATGGCATAAATACTACTATGGGTATAAAAGGGGTATAGATTTTCTTGGAACAAAATATGCAAACCCCACAAAAATAAAAATAAAAACAAATATTTATTGGGTACTTACTTATATATTTAAATGTAAGTTTGTAAAGTAGGGAAAAACATTTAAATTTTTTTCTGGTTTAATTATAAGAATATTATTAGAATTCTTGATAACAGATTATTTCTTAATATCAAGGATTTTATTATATAAGACTTTAAACCAATATATAAAAACAACATCAACCTATTTCTTTGTACTAGACTAGGGTTTCTTAGCCTTGGCACTACTGAGATTTGGGGCTAGATAATTCTTCGTCGTTGGGGGGTGCTGTCCTGTGTGCTGTAGGCTGCTTAGCAGCACACCCAGCCTCCACCCCCCTCCAAAGTTGCGACAACCAAAAACGTCTCCAGACATTGCCAAATTTGCACTGAAGGGCAAAACTGCCACCGTTGAAAACCACTGCAGCAGATCATTCTCATCAGCACATATACATATTCCAGTATCTTCGATCTTAAAAAAATAAAATATGCCCTTAATCCTACACTGTCTTCTAGCTAAAACCTCAATTCTTTGACTGCCTTTAGAGCTAAAATTCTAGAAAGAGCTGCACATATACCCTGGTTCCATACCTCCAATGAACTACTCAAGATACTGCAATTTAGTTTCTATCCCACCACTCTATGGCAACTGTTCACTGAGGCACTAGTGATCTCCATCTTGTCCACCCCAGGGAAGATTTCTCCTTCCTCATTTCAGTGGACTTTTTCTGTAGCATTTGGACTAGCTGGCTACCCTTTCCTCTTTCCTCTGGCTTCTGAACACGTATTCTACTGTTTTCCCTACTATAATCTATCTGCTGCCACACTGCACTCTTTCTTCTCTATCTTTAATATTAGAGAATGTCAGGGCTTGGTCCAGGCCTTTTGCCTATCTACATTCTCTCAATATTTGGTTTCATATAATCCCCTGGCTTCAAATACCTATCTATGAGCTGATTACTCCCAATACATATCTTGAGCCTAGACTTGTTCCCTTGGACTCCAGGCATATTTATACAATTTCCTAATTGATAGTGACAGTTACATAACTCATAGGCATCTCAAAATTAACATGTTGAAAAATGAGTTCTTAACAGATATAACCCCTACTCCACACAACTTTATCCTCTGTATTTTTCCCCAAGTCTGTAAATGGTACCACCATCTACTCACTTGCTCATTTGAGGAAAAAGAAAAATCAACCACCTGGAAGTTATTTTTTATTACTCCTTTCTTTTTGTCTGCTGTTTCTTTAAGTATCACCGAGCCCTCTGTGTTTTCCAACTCCATAATGTATTTAAATGTATCTACCTCTCTCCATTTCCAGTACTGTCGCTCTGGACCAAACCACGACAGTTATCTTACTAGGGACGCTGCAGTTGCCAGGTCTTCTTCTTCCCATCCTTCCCCACACTCAAACCATTCCCCACCCAGCAGCCAAAGTAGTCTCTTATATCACTCTTCTGCCTCAAACAATGGAACAGCTTCAGGTTACTTGTGGAATAAAATTTAAACCCCTTTCCACCGCTTATGCGGGTGCCTGCCTCCCTAACTTCACCCCCTCCCACCCCATGACCATGTGCCAGAATGGCAGGTCTCTTCTCTGTTACTAGAATGTGACAAAACTACTCTCTTACTGGGCCTTGGCATTCATTTGATCCACTGCCAGGAACACTCTTCCTCTGCTCTTCTCAGCACTTGTCCCTTAGGGCTCGCCTTGCAAGTCACCCTACCTAACCTTTTTGGACAGAGCTTCCCTGGCCAGCCACTCTAAGGAGGCCTGCCCCATATACTGTACCTCATAAGGTGGTTATTAGCTTCATGACACGTGCTACAATCCATAAGCATCCCTTGCACTTGCTGATGTGCTCACATGTTCACACATCTGTCTGGTGCACAGAAAATGCCTTGGTGCTTGACACGTGCTACCATGAACCTCACTTAGATTTCACTGTTCATAAGCCCACCACTGAGTACTGAGCTACTATCAAATGCCTAGAACTGAATCAGGCTTTTGAATAGCAAAGTTCAAAGTAAATAATACTGTATTACCATATTAAATAAATGTATTAAATCCATCTGACTCACATGAACACTTTTTTGGGAAATTTTAAATTTTATTTCAAAGCAGGATAGTGTGTGGCCATGGGAAAGTAGAGAAATGTATATTAAATATCAGTCCAACCTGGCCCAGGTTGTTATATAATGCCAAGCATATGAATCAAAAGTAAAATTATAAATCATATATTATGGTGGACACTTATATATATTTTGCATATAATATGCATGTATGTTAATTTTATCATTCTGTTTAAAATACAGCTAGATTTCTAGGTAGATCTATAAATTTTATTTGTTAATAATCTTTTATACATTTATGTGCATTTGCAACCATTAAGTGTGTTTCAATTTCCAACCATCCTGGATTTATTTTAGATGTTCATCTCCTAAGAGAACTTCTGAATGGTCCTCAAATGTTAATATATCATTGAGCTTATTTGAAACTACTTAAATAGAAATAAAAGACACAACAGATATCAAAACACTGTCTTTCACTCCCCAAAAACTATAACTTCTCTATTCCGGATCAGGCTCTTCTTTTTATTCATTTATGTATTTATTCAAGAAGCTTTCAAGAACACCTACTATGAGTACCTCACTCTACTATCATTCTTTTTCATCTGCAAATCCCTTTCATTCCACCTCTCTCCCTATCAGTCTCTTCTACATGAATGACAATTCTAAATAACCTTTCAGGAAGGCCTTGCCTGTTCCCCAGAGAGAGGAATGTTTCATTTGTTATGATCCTCATGTGTTCCACAGGCGCTTTTGTTCTAGAAGATAACTTGACTGATTTATCACAAGTAATCCATCCTTCAAATATTTATCGAGGCATTTATTTAGGCCCTAAAAACTAAGGTGAAGTTCATGCCCTTCATTTTTAAAGTTGGGGAGAGACTGACATGCAAAGAAATAATTGTGATATAAAGCGGTAGCATAAAATTTAATACAAACATAGGTTTATTATCTTTTTTCTTCCCCATGAGAGGAAAGAAGACATGGCATTGCATGCAACACAGTGTTCTGCACAAGGTTGTTAGCCAACTGTATACAGGAAAAGAAAGAAACCAAATGTAACTTACCGAGTGTCCGGAAAGGTCTCTGACTTGGTAAGTGGGAGAAGAAACCAGGCTTCAATGCATTTGTAATCACAATGTCAAAAAGGTCTGTAAAATCATTCCTAAAAGCAACACAATTTTTCATAAGTTTATTTTAAGAATTAGAAAAGGTCCATATAAAACAGAACTTGATCTTTGCTTATCTATTTTACCACAGCATCATTCATCTTTTGACTAACTTTTACATGCTTTATATTTTTCTCACACACTTTAAGGTGAACATTCCACTGGAAATAGAAGGTGGGTGAGTACTAGTCTTCCTGACAACTCTTTGAAGTATAAACATAATCAGGAAAAAAAAGAGAGTAGCACATAGACTCTAGGTACCAAGCTGGCTTTGGTAGTGAACTCAATAGTTTCTAACAGCTGGAAATATTTGGAAAATCTATCTTCAAATTTGGGGGCCTGAAATTGGCTGGCTTTGTTAGCTTGAAGAGTTAACAATTTTGTGTGTTACATGGGTCCCACAGAAAGCAGCATTATAGCAAGTCATGGTCATCTTTCAGAGAGTGCTTCAAATGTGAAGAAGACACTTTATTTGACAATCAGTGTAGTCTTATAATGTGGTAACTTTTGTATGACAATAATTAATGATTTTAAATCTGTAGTTAGCATTATATTAAGGATTACTTTTGATGGCAAAGGCAAGGTAGCCCTTCTCCTGAAGGACTCACTATTACAATGGGGGAAACAGTATTTACCCAACATTCTAGAATACTTTTACAAATCCAAACAGCAATACATAGAAATTAAGATGAAGAAAGACTATGGTTATCTATGCTAATAAAAAAGGAATTAAAATCCAGATTGTTCATTTTAAAGCATGGGCCCACTACTAGGATAGCAAATGTCTCTATGAGAGGCACCTTCTAAGACATCCAGGACTTTAGCCTTAATTCACCCAAAAGATGCATTATTATGTATCAGCCTGTATATTATTCAGAAAGCAGGAATTCTACTCACAGATTCTAAGCATACCATAGAAGAAACTAAAGCCACACATGCTAAGGAACATGGAAATCATGATGCTAAAAGGGCTGGTGAAGGTAGGTTTTAAGGCTCAAACTTGCTCCATACTCATGGCAATTCGGTATTTGATGGAATTTGAGGAAACATTAGGGGAGACCTAATGACTCAGGTAGAATCTCGCTTTGACCATAGACATTTCCTGGTATTTCCCACAAGAATAAGTATTTACACACTGAAGTCTATCAACTATTCCTGTCTAATTCTCTACCTGTATTATGCTATTTAAATATCCCCTCATACCCACAAGGAATTACTGTACCATTTTTATGACGGCAAAATTGAAGCTTAAAGAGGTTATAAAACCTGCCCCAGGTAATACAGTAAACTGCAGAGCGGGGCTTGAAATCAAGTCTGTCTTACTTTAAAGTCTATGCAATTATACTGCCTTCATTCTCATGAATTCAATCCCATCATGGCTGTGTTAAACAGTAAAATACATGGCTCCGCACGGAAATGACTAAAGAGTGGCTGTACTCCAGGTATCTGTGGAGGAGTATAACCTACAACTCAGAGTCCCTCAATCATCGTCCAAAGATGAGAAACCAAATTCATGGAAAACTGAAGGATATACAGTTTACCACCTTCTAGAAAACCTAAAACCTGGACATTCGGTGAGCTATGAGCATACTGGTCCCCAATAACACTGCTTTGCTAAAATGTACTTGGTTGGGCTGCTGTCAGCAGAGATTGAGGTATGTCATGAGAAAAAAAATCAACTTGTCACTCAGCATTGTTTAAAATAATGATATGGTCATGGCTGACACTTTTAAAAAAGCCCTGGTCTAATTTGCTATCTGTATTTCATAAGACAATGAAAACTGAATGACTCATCACTCACCCAAGAATATATTCGCAGAGAAGTCTACAGTAATCACTGTGAGAACTGGTAATTAACAGAAGAATTTTCCCAGCATTCTTTAGCTGTCGAAGCCATTTTTTCACAGATTCAGGACAACTATGTAAATATCTGCCTGGATCTCTTTTTATTTCTGGAAAATATATTCCACAGTTTTCTGAAAAATAAAAATATCAATGAGGTTTTTCTTTTTAAACATTTTTTGACTAAATATATTCTCTAACAAGTTAATCTCTTTCAAATCTATAGATAAAACTAAAAGGATAAGAACAAGGTTTGACCGACCTAGCAATTATGCCAATACTACTTGCTTTTTAAGAATAGTTCTTTACTTGAAAACACAATATTGTTTGAAAATGTTAGTTGATAATATTCGCTGGCTATTTGACAAGAACTGATAAACTGTTAAAACAGGTAACACAAGAAACACAATATGATCAGCATTTTCAAATGCTGTAAGAGAAAACCTTACATTTGAAATATCAATTGTTACAAATACTCTTTTAATTATTCAATGAATATTTGCTGAATACAGACAAGAAACAAATCAACACTCAGATATTGCACCAGGATCACATCTTTTGCATAAATAGCCAAGAAGGGCGATGAGTTCCTCAGAGTCACAGTTTGCTATTTCAGATGGAATCTATACTAGGGGAGCCATTCTATAGCCTCTGAGAAGTGCTGAGATATCAAAATGGAAAAATCGGTGCAAAATAGGCCAGAACAGGCCAAAAGGCACTGTATTTGACAGGGAACAATGAATGACTCGCATCACTGAAGCGGGGTTGCTTGCTCTGCCCCTTTAGAGTGGCCACGGGGTCTGGCTGAGCTCCAGGGCAGATGGTGGCAGTGTTTCCAGATGTCCTGACCAGACTTACCCATAGTGCTTGACCCAATGCCTTTAAAGTTGTGGGTACTTAGCAGGCAATTGCAGATTTAGTTGAAATGTTACTAGATTCATAACACATACTGTTCTCAGAGCATGATAGAACTAGTAAGCAGATAAAAAGGATTCAAGATTTTACTTTCTCTAATTGTTAGGAAAAGGACACATGCATAGACAAAAAAAAAAAAAAAAAAAAAAAGGTTAAACAGCTTGTACTGAATGATAGAGTCTGCAATAGCTAGATATGGGATACATCCGTGACTCTCTCCAGTGTGAAACACTTGAAATACTTGGCAGTTATATTTCAAGAATATCAGGACATCAGGAAGAAGAGTTGTTTTTTTTTTTTTTTTTTTTTTTGAGACAGAGTCTCACTCTGTCACCAAGCTGGAGTGCAGTGGCATGATCTCTGGCTAACTGCAACCTCCGCCTCCCGGGTTCAAGTGATTCTCCTGCCTTAGCCTCCCTAGTAGCTGGGACTACAGGCGTGTGCCACCACGCCCAGCTAACTTCTGTATTTTTAGTAGAGACGGGGTTTCACCATGTTTGCCAGAATGGTCTAATGGTCTTGATCTCTTGACCTCACAATCCGCCCACTCTGCCTCCCAAAGTGCTGGGATTACAGGCATGAGCCACCATGCCTGGCCAGGAAGAAGAGTCTTTAAGTGAAACAAAAACGAACAAATAAAAACAAAAAACGGTAGCAAATATTGTGGTCTGCCTCCCCACATCCATCTCCCTCTTTGCTGGGGAGTGCTCTGATATTGTTTCGGGTTTCATCTTCCTCTGAGGGGGTCTGTGATGCTAGGAAGGGCAAGGGTCTCTATCAGTCTACACCTATCACAGTTATTCCCTCCTCCTGTCATTGAATTGTTTAGGAAGTGCTGGGGACCCAGGCATGGCAAATGAGACCTGAGGAGAACTTTGCTGCAGGATCCTGAAGTAATGTATACCACTGATAAAAATAAACCTATAAAGGGGGGAATATCCCCTCTTCTACTACTGGACTTTCCCATGATTATAAATTCTATGTAGAACTGCAGCGGTTATCATCAACACAAAGCACGAGTCTGATATACCAGAGATGGCGGAGTGGACATATGAAAGGAAACAAACCTGGGTCCCTGATGACATCACTGGGTTTCTGCTTTTGTTTCTGTTTTTGAGACAGGGTCTCGCTCTGTTGGCCAGACTGGAGTGCAGTGTGGCACGATCATGACTTACTGCAGCCTTAAACTCCTGGGCTCAAGTGATCCTCCCACCTCGGGCCTCTGAAAGTGCTGTGATTACAGGCATGAGCCACTGTGCCTGGCCACCACTGGATTTCTGATTAAGTCACTGACTAACTCTAACCACCACTGGAAGTACCATTCAACTTCTGGACAACCTCTGGTTGTGTAAAATAACTCAATTTAGTAATAGCTTAAACATTAAGGTTATTTATTATTTGCAACTTAAAGCATCATGATTCAGAAAATATATTGCATGAATATCATAACCAGACCAAAACTAACAAAAGAAATAATATTTTGCAATATGAGAATAATATTTAGAAGACCAAAAACAAAAACAAAGTTTTTGCTCTTTTTATATTTTGCCCTACAGGAACTTCTGTGTGTGAATCTCTAGGATCTATTTTTAACATGCCAGAGGCTATATAATAGCCCTTTAAAAAAATTAAAATATATTCTCTGTTTCCCAGGGAAGAGGAAGTACTAGTAAGAAAAGGTCAGTTTAAGAAACAGATGATAATAATAAATCTAAATGGCTAAGAATAGAGAAGTTTGATGAGTGGATGACTGCTAATTTCAGAGGCTGTGTCTCTCTCGTAACTTACTATACCTAAGGGAGTCAGATGTGAGATTATTTCACTTAGAAAAACAAAGCTTTTGTAGCAAGAAGAATTTTATGGGCTACGTAAGAAAAAAATTTATAGTGTGTAATGCTGAAAACATAGACTTGCTTTCAGAAAACTTGAGAAAAAATTATTTTTTCTTAGCTATATGTGCTTAGTGCCATCTAGTGATCAAAATATAAATTACCATTAAAAAGCTACTGTTAACATTTCCAAAGGAATAAAAATACAAGGCATACGCATTTAAATACAATATTTTAAATTTCTTACCTAGGTTAATTGCATTAGTATCTCAATTAATAATGTCTGATTCAAAAGAGTACCAATATAATAATTTAATCAGATAAAATTATTCTCTGAAGTCATAACAGAGATGTCCTTGTTTTGTTCATAAGCCAGACTGAAATGAACAAACTAAAAAAGACAAGCCCTGTACAAACACATACCCAATGGTAGATTATGAGTTGCTCTTACTACAAAAGATCACTGTCATGGAGAAAATATTTTTGCCCCCTTGTAACCTCCAATTATTAAAGGAATAGGAGACATAATTATACAAATAGAAACATCTTTTTATTGAAATAAGTCAAGGTATTAAATCAAATGAAGAGTTATGTTAAACATACTACAATGGATTATAATTGTCTATTAAATTATATCCCCCAAAGAA
Source organism: Homo sapiens (assembly GCF_000001405.40). Taxonomy (NCBI): domain Eukaryota; kingdom Metazoa; phylum Chordata; class Mammalia; order Primates; family Hominidae; genus Homo; species Homo sapiens. Next base: position 116,217,796 of record NC_000006.12, on the reverse strand, counting down.
ACTATAAACTTCTAAAGGCAAGAAATATATCTTTCTGCTTGGCATGGAGCAAGTATTCAACATATGAATACCTAAATTAGTGCAGGAGCAGACACAGGAACATTTATGTTTCCTTACATTCAAGGCAAGAGTATGATTAGTACCATATAGCCAAACTGAAGTGATAAAAATAATATTATTCATGTATGATTAAGGCAGCCTATGAAAAAAGTCATGTTTAATTATGATACTAATTAACACTGATTGAACAAAATGGAATTTAGACCTAAGATGGAAAGGAGTGGTATTGTTTGTTCTTAACTCACAAAGAAGCCTGTGTTTTCACTTAACCTCCAAAGGAATTCTATTTCACTGCCACTTTATGTAACTTATTTTCCTGGTTTTTCCACCACTCTTATATCCTTTGATGCTGATATTTTCTAGGTCCAGATGAGATTTAAAGGAAATTCTTTTAATAAGCTGATTCTAAGGAATAAAAGTTTAGCTCTCCTATGTTAAAAAAACTGGTTAATGTAGAGTGACAGAAATAATACCAAAGTGTTGCAACAGTCTGATATGCACATCAAATGGCCTGAATACACCAAACAGGATATAGGGACCTCTCGTGGTAAAAAAGTATAGTACAACCTGAATATTAAAAACAGTTTTTTTCAGTTTAACAGACAATTGTGCCACATCACTATTTCTATCATCACTGAATAAGCTTTTTCTTGTTAACTGTATCACTACTGTTTGCATGATTTTTGGCCAGAATTTTCAAAGCTGCTGTCCGAGGGGACTAGAGATGCCAGGATGCTAACACTTCCATGGTCAGCCTCCAAATAAGGTCTGTTGTTTCCATTGCAGAATATAATTTAGAAGAGATTTAAATATTTACAACCTTTACAAGTTATATAAGAGCACGCTAGTGAACAGCTAAAATGCCTAGCGATGAACTGTTTAAATGTACTTGCTGTAGAGATGATATAATTAATTTTCTTAAAAGAAGAAACTTCTTTGCTAAGAGACACTGAAATATTTGTTGGAGGATAAAAGAGATAAATTTATTTTGTTTATTTATAGGTGGCAAAAAATAAAATTAAAATGTATTAAAACAGATTTGCTGTTTATATAACAAAATATATGGTTTATATCTAATATTTTATAATTAAATAAATAAATCTAGAATATCTAGATTGTGTAAAGTGAAAATCTATATGCTAAACATAATACTTGGAAAGTCTCTCAAATAAAAGCTGGGAAATGAAGTACAGAATATGAGAGAAAAACATAATATACAAAATTTACATTTTAACAGTATCTGATTTCCAGATCTGTAATTTAATTTGCATATCCCGGCCCTACTCCAAAAATTCTGATTTAATTGTTTTGGGGTAGGGCCACAACATTGGTATTTTTTTTTTTAAAGCTTCCCAGGTAGTCCTAATGTGCTACCAGGATTAAGACTTGTTGACCTAAAATATAAAATATAAAATATAAAAACCAGAATTCTTACTATTATTTTCTGTGTATTTTGCCTGCTTCATTGGAAATCACAGGCTCTCAGAGGGCAGGGACTTTTGAATTTTATAGTATCTTTATTACCTAACATATAGCCTTGTACATGTTAGGTAATCAACAAATAATAACTGTTGCCAATTATCTTAAATGTCATTGTGGTTGATGATCTTTAAAGTGTTTACTCTTACACTATACCAATTAAGCATGGTACTCTAGATTTAGTTAAGTATTGTGAATACAGAATGATGGATTTCATTCCTCCTTTGAAAGGAGGATTCCTGGAAAAAGTGTATATTATGGAATTCTTTGAAAGAAAAATTATTCGAACAGTTTAAATGAGTATAGACAAGCCAAACAGACTCCTTTATCTCTCCAAAGCCATCAAACTGCCTGACTCTGTGCTGAATACAGTCTATAAATATGATTTTGGGTCGGCAGTATTTTAAAATTTTTGGATGTTAATGTCCTTGGACAGTATTACATATGTATTGTAATAGTTTACCCACAATCCCACCACGCCATATTGTCTGCACTTGGCCTAGTCAACTCCCCTGTTGCCATCAGTTTACAACCTATTTTTTCTCCTATGATATCAGAATGAATCATTCTAAAAGAACCTAGTTTCCTCTTTCCGACATGGTTACTGGACAGACAACGTAAATGTGGAGAGAGGTTTTTGAAGGTCTGCCTGGTTTTATTCAAAATATAACAAATCCTTTAATGAGGACGCTGACAGCTGGGAGGGTCAGCAGATGGATCTGATGACAGAATCACATACAATAATATCTGGACAGGCTGTAAAGTCGACAAGGTGACTCAGTGAGGTACAATTTCATAGGGAGAGATGAAATCTTACCAGGTTGAAAGCTCAGCCATACAGGCATAACATTGGAGGAGCTGTTGTTTGTCAGCAACTTCAAAATATAGAGCTTACAGTCAGCTTAGGCTCCACAGTATAGACAAAGTAAAATAAAAAGTTTGGAGACCATGTTTTGCAATTTATTTAGTTACTACTATGTACTTTTGATATCATGTTTCTGGAAAAATATTTCTGCTCCAGAAAGCTGGGTAAGAAGCATGTGTCCTCCTTTATAACCCTAGGCATCTTATCTTCATGTGCTCCGTATTATCCAATTAGGTGATTAGATTGTAGAGCTACATTAATATCAGTACAATGTTCAGAACCAGGAAAGCAATAATTTCCACTCTTTTAATCATTTTCAGACTAAACCTTGATAACTGGGTTCTATTCTGGATGACACTTTTCACAAGAAAGTGTGTCCAGAGAATGATGATGTTAACAATTCCTATGCCCCCCACCCTAGAGACCTCTGGTGGAGCCCCAGAGATACACACTGGCCAATCAGACATTTACAAACCTGTGAAACAGGCAGCTTCAAAGGACCGTTTAATCTTAGAGTTGCTTGAGTCTATGCCTCCATGGTGATGTCCAGCCAGATAACTCTTTTTTTTTTTATTATACTTTAAGTTTTAGGGTACATGTGCACAACACAGATAACTCTTTAGCCACAATGAACACCCATTTCCACAGTGTTTCTCCTCCTCTAAAATGTCTTTGCATTTTGAATATGATATTTCAAAAACAGACTTTTGGTAGAGTAGTGGGTCTCAAAATGAAGGTAAATTAGAATTATCCAGAATGCTTTCAAAAATACTCCTAGAGTTTCTGATTCAGTAGGTTTGGGGTGGGGCCTGAAGATGTGCATTTCTAACAATTTCTCAGGTCAACTGACAGTCCAAGAACCACACTTTGAGAATTACTTCAGTAGAATACCCCTATAAAACCAGACAGCTTTTTGAAAGCCTTTTTTCTCCTAGCAGAACATGGTCCTCACTATTTCGGCTAGAAGTGCAAAACCAGATTATGCATATTTAACGTTATCTGATAAAAATGCTCAAATCTGTGTCTGTGTTTAAAAACATTTTAAGTAAAAATCTTTTTAAGTAAAATAGAATTTATTTTTATTTCCTTTATAAGAAGGATATATATGAGAATAAAGACCTGATGAACTGTTTTATGTTTTTTCAGTGTACTATTTGACATTCACTTTCATTTCTGAGCCTTGAGAGCAATACTCTTGCATGTAAAGTAGAAAAAGCACACACTTTGGAGTCAAATGGCCTAAGTTTGAATCCTAAGTTTGTAAGTGGTTTGCCACTTACAGTATCAGGATTTTTGAGAAATTTACTTAAAAATTTTAATTCTTAATTTCTTCACCTATAAAATCTCATTAAATTATGGAGAAGAAAGCCAGGCACAGTGATGTGTGCCTATAGTCCCAGCTACTTGGGAAGGTGAGGCGGGAGGATCACTTGAGCCTAGCCTAGGCAACACAGAGATATCCCATCTCTTAAAAAACAAAAAAAAGTAGTGTGGGTAAAGTATCCATCTCATAGTGCTTGGCACAAAATCCCCAATAAGAATTCCCTTCCACCCCTTCTACTTACCTAGACACAACTCTTTCTGATCCTTTTGCAGGGAGCCTATCACTAGAGGTGAAATAGGCAGGATCCTGTGCCTGTTACAGCACTTCTCAAAGTAGCATTAGTTTTTAGTAGCTCATTATAATTGAAGGGGCATTTTCATGTTCTCCTACATGTGATCTACACATAGAACAGATGTTAAATTTATTGAATATAAAACATTATAGAAGATGTGAAGTGGATTGAGTTTCCAAGATGGACACAACAATATCTCCCACCTCATATGTCTAGAGTTGGAGTTAATTGTTCCATTCTTTTATATCTGGAGAGGTTATTTTACTGCTTTGACCAATAGAATGCAGTGCGAATGACCCTGTGTTAGTTCCAGGTGTAGCCCTTAAATGGCCTGGCAGCTTCGACTCCTTACCTGTTGGAAGTCATGTGCCATGTAAGATGTGCAACCAATCTGAGGCTACCTGAGATGCTGTGAGGAATAGGTTAGATGAAGAATTTGTGTTGTAGGTGCTCCAACTGCCAGCCCCAGCTGAGTGTTGAGCTAAAAGCTTCAACTGCAAGACATAGTGAGCCCCTTGGACATCCAGCCCAGTCATGCCTTCAGAAGACTACTGTCCCCACTGACATCTGACTGCAACCACAGGAGAGACCCCCACGTTTAGAAGCACCCAACTAAGCCCAGAATCCATAAGTGACATGATACTGAGTTTTGTGTGTTGGTATCCTATGGAGCAATAGATAATCTAAACAAGATGCTTTGGAATAAAGTCCCAATTTTAATTATTATCTCTATGCAATTCAAGATAAAATATTCACAAATCCTTTTAGAAACAGATGAAATAAAAGTAAACAGGCTCTAAATTGTTTTTCTTCACCTCCAAAAAATAACTCAAAGGTTTCTACTGCATATAAATTTACAAAATGTAAATACATGAAAAGCTTTTGTCAGCATAAATGTTTTAAACAGTTTAAAGAAATCCAAAATTAACAAGTATTTAAAGCAAATTCTACATACTTATCACTTCTCATCTAGTTCAAATATGAAATGCTTAGAAACTGAAAATAATAATCAATTGCTGAAATACAGAGTGATTATAGCAGTAAAAAATGAATATCCTGGGATGTTTGTTCCCCTGCCTCCCTGCCACCCATTAAATCTCAACTCAAAAACTTTGGATTTTTCTTAAAAAACTAGATTGGTATTCAAAGGAATATGCATTTTAAAGATCAAATTTTATCACAAGAGTGCACTGTTTCCTTAATTAATTTAGTTCAGATATCCTCAGTTTCTTCAGAAATATCTTTTCTTACTAATAAAGCCAAAAGTATGCAGAGTTGTATTTCACTTAGAAGCAATCCATTTCAGAACACACATAAAGATTATAATCACAAAGGATTACTTGTTCAATGTCCAGACAGTGTATTATATAAATAGGAAAGCCCTCTCTAGCCTCCTAGGTCTGTGCCACATCTATACCTTGCATAGACAGAGTAGTTAAGCAGCTATTTTAATGAGGCACTACTCTGTTTTTCACTATACTTTTCCACCTGTATTTGTATCAGTCATATCTTCTATATGCTTTCATAAAATATCACCTGGCTAGTTACTCCATGATAACAAAAGAAAAAGGAAAAAAGAACATACTAAAGTTTCAAATCAGTGAGATTTTAACTCTGATAATTGTTTTGACAGAGTTATTAACTTTTTAATAAAAAATTTGAAAAAGAATTGATAAAATAGTATTAGAATAATGAAATAATTTCTTTGATATAACAAACATAAATATATAGGATAGTCTATGTGTAATACTCTGCAACATTGCTTGAGGAGTAATAATGCCCTAAGCCTGGGTTCTTATCCTAAAATCCATACACAGGCCTCACTGCGTGAATGAAACCCCAATACTCTTTGCAACATTTTGTTCATCAGTGTGTTGTGTGTGTTGGGGGATCAGAGCAGGTGTAGGCTCTCTAGCTTTAATTAGATTCCTGAGGCTAGGGACATGAAGAACCACAGACTTAGATTCTCTTAGATTTGCACAGTACAACAAAGCAAACATTCCAATATCCCTCCCTTTGTTATAGTCGAGAAAAATCTTATAAAAATGTCTTAGAAAAAGGAAATTCTCTGTAATAGGTAGTACAGAATTTGTACACAGTTTGTCCAGGAATAAATATACTTCGTGGACTCTATATTTTTTACATGTAAATTATTCTAAGTCCAATACATTTATACTTATTTGGCATGGCTAATGAATGGCTGTTCTAGTTAAATTAATTTGTAGGTTAATTAAGAATAACCAAATATACAATATAAAAACATACATAAAATACAGTCAACTCTTACTGTTGAACCTATATGGAAAAAAGAACTATTTAAAGAGATTAAATTATTGCTTTTCTTATATATGATACACTTTTGCTAGAGAAAATTCATTGTATTGGGTTTTTTATTGCTGCACAACAAACCACCTCAAACATGATGGCTTAAAATAACAATGTATTATCATCTCCTGATTCTGAGGGTTGACTGAACTCAGCCAGGCATTTCTCACTTGGAGTTGTGCCCGGGGGTATGGAATCATCTAAGGGTTTCTTCACTCACTGTCTGGCACCTGGGCTGGGCTGGCTGGAACGGTGAGAGCTGGTGAAACAAACATCTCTCCACTTAGCTAGCTTGAGCTTTCTCTCTGCATTTGGGTCTCACAGTAGTTGGACTTCTTAAGTGGCGGTGGGTTTCCCCCAGAGCAAGTGTTTTAAGACAAGCAAAAGCTGCAAGGCTCCTTATGACCTAGTTTTAGGAATTTTACAGTAGCACTTCTGCTGAATTTTACTGATGATAGAGGTCCAGCTCATTTTCAAGGAGAAGAAAACAGAAAGGTGTGACTTCTGGGAGGCATGATTCATTAGAGAGCTATCTTTGTAGACTAGCTGCCAAACATACTAATACTTCTATGTGATTCCTGCCAGTATATTTTCTGTTCATATCTAACTCTGTGGGAATTTTAAGCATACCATATATAGTTTTTTTTACCTGTGTTTCTGTTCAGCATTGTATCTGAGGAATTTCCTATGGCATTAACATTTATTTTAAAACATTTCCATGGTTTTAACTTAATATCACTTTTAAAATAGATTATTTATAATAATTATCCTCATAATAACTGACATAATCTGAGTGCTTATTTTTGCCAAACACAGTTCCAAGACCTTTATAACTATTAATGGATTTAATCCTCATAATGACCCCAGGAACAGGTCCTATATGATTCCCGTTTTGCAACTGAAAATCCGAGATACAGAGAGGCTAAGGAACTTGCCCAAAGTCACACAGCTACCATGTGGCAGAATCGGAATTTGAATGCAGGCGGTCTGCTTTCGGAGCTTGTGCAATACTGCCCAGTTACAAGGCATTTGGGGACTCTATGGTAACTACAGGGTCACCACAAATCTTTACTCTTTTTTTTTTTCACATGGTACATTATTACATTTCAGGGGTTTGAGGTTGTTCAGAATTTTAATAAGTGAGAGTTCAGAATTTGGATAAATTTTGACAAATCAAATTAGCTTCTTTTTGAACCTTACATATAAATTTATTTAAAATCTTGCAATGTGGAAAGTCTTTTAAGCATGGCACTGAACTCAAAAGCCATAAAGGAAAATTGAAACACCAAATTAGATTTCTGCAGAGGAAAAAAGTATCCATCAATATGCATTCTAATTATATCTAGAATTAAAAGGAGCCTTAGAAATCACACCCTTCAACCTTGTCATATTAAAGATGATTAAGTAGCCACCACATATTTTGCTCAAAATTACGGTTAGTAACAAACTTGGGTATGGAATAGAGTCCTCAAGAATCCTAATCCACTAAACCTCATCATTTATGTGTCTAAATCTATATGTTTGAGATTTAACTTATTTGATGACCATTATCTGTTAAAGAAAAATAACTTGCGTTCAGAAGCAGAAATCAAATGCTTTAAATGGTATGCCTGTTTAGCTATATAATTATTGGATAATAATTATAAAATTCAATTCTGCTTTTCCTCAGGATTTCTGCAGAAGTTCTTTGTCACTGAACTGATATTGTCTCTGCTATTATCTGGAAACTCAGACCTTCCACTGAGATAGGAAAAAAAACCCCAAATAAACGTCTAAAATTAAGGCATAAATATTATCTCCCTTCCTGGAATACTCTGCCTTCCCTCTGCTGCCTGGTGAACCTTGGAAGCTTGTCACAAGGTTACCTTCTATGAGGAGCCCTCCCCAATACCCACTCTGCACATCAATGATGGCATTCATCATGTTACACTATAATCAACACTTGTAATAAGCATATTTATGTATTTTTCTTTCTTCTGAGACTCTGAGATCTTTTAAGAAAAGAACCATCTTAACATTCATGTTTATACTCCTAATATCAGGCAAGTACCAGAGGATTCCTAACTACAGAAGTAAGTGTGTGTGGGAAAAAGCTACCAGGCAAGACTTACCAGGTGACCATAAAGACCAGAGGTTGGCAAACCACAGCCCACAAGCTAAGAAAGGTGCTTACATCTTAAAATGGTAATGTAAGTATCAATATAATAGCCTTGATTTTGTCTCTTGGTGCCCAAAGCCTATAATATTTACTATCTGGCCCTTTAAGAAAAGGTTTGCTGAATCCTGATATGTAGTATTTAATAACTACGGGACAGTAACGTAATAAAAATACAATTAGTTATATATAATGCACTATTACTAGAAAGTACCAAAAGAATAATAAAATCATCAATTTAAGAGACTTTGTTTAAAGCCTATGCAGTCTCTGAGCAGAGTGAATATTACAAAATGATTTGTGATCAAACTAATGAAAGACAACATAAATACCTTTATGTATCTTTTAATCACAGTGGATCCCCAGCCATGATGTAACTGCCCTTCAATTACTCTCTGGCCTGGGTTCTCTATTAGTATATTCTATGAGCCAGATGATGGGTCTCTTTACTCTGCCATCTCTTTAAAACCTATCTATATGTGCCTTTGCTATTGCTTTTATGATTTTAGCACACTTTATTTTTAGTCTCTGAATAAGATGTTTTCAGGCTCACTTGGTCTGCTTGTTAAAAGAGCAATCGCAGGGTCACAGAAAGACACTACAAGCCTAGGGCTGAAAGCCACCACTGGTAATATTTTTCCTCATGAATGTCAAAGGAAGTTGAAAGATCCCAAAAATGCACATGATGACATGATGACATGATCAGAAAGAACTAAAGAGCTTGTAGCTTGAGATGAACGAATAAAGGCACTATTGCCTAAGTACAGCCTTACAAATTAACTGTGCAAGAAATAGGAATGTTTTCCTTGGTACAGCAAAACAAAGATGCCTCCAGGTAAAACCTGGGACAGGTTTTAGGGGCTAGCTTCAAAGAGATACACTGTAGCTTTCATTTCAAACGGTTTTAAAATGTATTTGTGAAGCATAAAACATTTTGGGAGGGTTTTGTTTTCAACAGAAGTCAGCCCACTGACATTATCCTTACTTGAAATCTTCCACCTCCTTCAGAAGAGAGAAGCTGGAAAAAATTAGGAGAACTAAAATGGGATGCCTCCGGGCAAAGCAGACTCAGAAATGTGGCAATGCTTATTCCTTTGAAAAAAGTTACAGTTGACTTCTCTAGCTTTGAGGCACAAAGAGATCAGAAAAAATAACAGGAACATAGAAATCATAAGCTAGATATTAGGGGTCATTAACTATCAATGTCTTAAGGAAATCTGCCCCACACTGAGGACTGAAGTGCTCAATTATTTAACAAACGAAAGACCTGGAATAGAACTTTCACTGTGTTTCTTCTAACCTGGTTTTTCTTCTGTAGTAGGTAGCCTAACAGAATGCCGAGACAACATTTCAGTATGTATACACTATGCTAAACTCAGCTCCCAAATCAATATAAATAACAAAAATAATCTGTGATGGGAACCCAGTCCTCATTCCATAATGATCAGTAATGAGGCACAGAGTAAAGAAAGCCTGGGGCGGCTCTTTATAGCCTCTGCAAGGAGTGGGCAGAGACTCAGGTAGAAATACAGTGGGAACCTGGGCACGAGGGGTTCACAGTTGAGTAATGGCTGGGTTCCCAGAATATTCTACTCTAAGCAGGGCTTTTAACCATCTAAATTCCTCTTTTTTCTTCTTTGGTCTTATTTTTGCCTTTTTCACACTGCCTGCTTCCAATCTAATGCAACAAGTTTATATATTTTGGGTATTTTTTAGAATTAACATATAATCATAATAAAATACAATCATATATACTTTTCAAACATAAAGATGAAAGACTTTTTAAACCAAAAATTAAGTAACTCTTTACCCGGTAAGCATGAAAAAAAATCTGAAAAATAAGGTTATAAACTTAGTCTTTACCTATATAATATGGACATATGTATCTATCATCTATCTAATTAAAGATTGTAAAGGATTTTTTTTGCTTTCTCTCTTTAGAATACATTAAGTCCACCATAAAAAAGAAAACATTTACTTCTATAGCTATAGACTCTATTGATCTTAAAAGGAAATGCAGGTACAGAAATATTTTTTCCCATGATTTCTTAAGACATATGATCCATTTATTGAGTGCATACCTTCAATCTTTCAGAATAAAGTGGAAGAAATCTGCTGTAGGCAGGGAATAGGTATAGTTATTAATGCAGAGATATCAGCTCCCAGAGGATCTGAATAAAACAATATTGTAATAATGAAACTATTTTCTAATAAAAAATTACATTCTTTTGACCTAGGAAAAAGTTTGTTAAGAAAGCATATGACATAAGTGATCAGACTATTTATTTTTAAAAGGAAAGATGTCAATATAAATCCAGAGAACTTTAAATTCTAGAATTACTCAATAAACAAGAAGAAAACATTTAAAATCCAATTTAAATGAGACAAATATTTTGCACACAATTATTTGGCAAATGTTAGCAATAAACACTAAATGCCCTATGTGTATTCAATGAAGAAAAATGTGAGTAAAGAGGAAACTGCACTAGACTTCGACCAATTAACAGTTTATCTAAAAACTATGGCAAAGAAAATGTTTTGCCCTCCAGATATAAAATCCATTTAAAACATCAAAAGGAACTTTATCTAAATGTCTCATGCCAGCAAATTAAATCATTATGGAGCAGGGTAGGAGGGATGGCAGAAAGAAATTCATAATTTGCAGGTGACTTCATTAAGAAACAGCTGTTGCTGTTGATGTAAGGAGAGTTGCTATTCCATTTCTACTGAAAAGCTTCAGAGCACAAAGTTCTGTACCAGAGTAGACACACAGATAAAAGTATATTACAGGATATGGTCTCCAGTGTTCCTGGGTGGTATGGACCCAAATCAGACAGTCTTGAGTCAAGTCTTAGTTGTGCAATTTCCTTGGGTAAGTGCTTTAGTCATTGAGAGACTGTTGGCTTATCTATAAAATGATCACAGTTATAACACTCACCCCATTAGGTAATTGTGTGAATTATATGCAATGATATATGTGAAACATTTAGCACAATGCTTTACACATAGTAAAAATTTTGTGTTAGAGCTATTTTTACTTTAACAAGTTCCTCTGGCCTAAGTACAGGCAGTTGATTAACCACGAAATGCTATGGGCCACACTGCATCATGGAATTGCCCTGCATGGGCCCAAAATGCAAGATTTCCCTTATCAAAATGCTACTTACCTTCAAAACATATTTTGAAACATATGCTATGAAAAAACCCTAAAAGTCCTACTGAGCAGGAGGCAGGGTGGTTCTACTTTTTGTTACTTCCAGGAAAAAACACTGGGCTAGATGGTCCAATGGTCTATTAGATCATTCTCAAAGGACTGAGCAGAGAAACTTGGGGTAGCTATTAGAACCTTGGGGACCACAAAACCTAATCTCATTGTGCAGATATGAAAATGAGGCCTAGAGAGGCTGACTTGCCTATCATCATGACATAATGAGGAAAACAGCAGGATGGAATGAAAATCTTGGTCTCTTTGATTTTTTCATTACACATTCCTTACTGTCATATCTACTAATCTTATTGTTTTATCCCCTTTATTAAGACATATTACAGCCTTGTTGTAAAGATGTAAATACAATTAGTGAAAAATTTAAAATGTACCCTTTTAATACAAAATCAGAATAAAGACGGAAACTACACAAACAGCTGGTTTATTCTTAAAGAAATGTATAAAATATCTGAACAGCCTTTTTTCCCCCCCAATTTATTCCACATATTTAAGGAATTTCCTTTGGGAAGACTAGGTCTAGCAAGATCAGATGCTCTGTATATCTGTGTAGAGACTGTGGGGCTCCAGAGGGAGAAGCTGCTGACTCAGTTAAGTTCCAACCTACCAGATAACAGGGAAATTATCTTTCTAAGGTTAAATGTTATTTTAAAATTATCTCGTAATTACTCAAGTAAGATATGTGAACACTTCCAAATTTCCAAATATATGTTCTAAATTTTGAAACATAAAAAAAAAGTCTGAAGTCTTCTCTAAATAGTACTCTCAGTTTCTGGTCCCTAGTATCATTGTTGTCATTTTAGTGTCACACCAAGCTTGTCCAGCCCAGCTTATTTTGTTGTTGTTCTATTTTGTTTTGTTTTAGGCTTTTAGCAGCCTGAAGACATGGTTTTTAGTTTCTGTCTGTAATGATAAGCAGAAAAGAGGGATGAGGAAGGGGTTTTACCGGCCTAACCAGAAACAGAAACTAAGAACCCATGAATGTATTATTTGCTTGGACACTTCTGCACTGTATACTTTTCAGATAAATTTCTACGGACTTGCATACACACATATGTAGTTCACATTTTGGTGTGTATCTTTCCAATAAGGTGTTATGGACTTACACACACATATACATGTATTTTCTAGTACACATTTTGTGCAATTTGCTTTCCTCACCCAAAAAAATGACTTCAAAATCTAGCCACGTACTTAAATCTAGCCATGTAATTATAACAAATAATTACTGAGCACCTACTACACACTATTCATTGTTCTACTTGTTGAAAACATGGACAAAGTTTTTTCTCTCATAGACCTTACATTCTAGAAACGCTTCATTCTTTTTAACCACAACATTGCAATCCAGCATATGAATACAACAGTACTTTGGTGATTTTTTTCATTATAAATTCTGGAGTAAACAACATTGTATCTGAGTCCATGTATACATATGAGTACTTCTTTAGGGCTTATAAATGTTAAACGGCTGGCTCATTGCATATCTGCGTTTCTAATCTTAATATTTACACTGAGTTTGCTTTCAGAATTGTTGGGGACAATAGTTTTTAACATTGTTAGCAGCATATATGTGTGTACACTTACCCCACACTCTCATCAGGTCATACTGTCAGATCTTAATTTTTGCTGATATACTAAGTGAAAGTGGACATCTCATTGTTTTACCTTGCATTTCCCTGATTACTAATTAGGTAGTGCATCTTTTTGAATCTTTCTCAGTCACTACCTCTCATCCCTTTTACATTTCTACATTCAAGGCTGAGAATGAAGTAATTACCAAAAAGCAATTTGTTGTATTCAACTGAGTAAATTGAGGGCTATTTATGAAGTTACTTTATTATAAAAATTCAACAAACACACTCTGAGAGCACTTGACAAACTCGGTGGTATTAACTCCTGAAGTGTTTCTTACCCCACCAAAAGCCTTCAGGCTCACAGCAGTGCATCGTCCTCTCCCTTACCCAGGTGTTTCACTGCAGGACCAAATTCCAAATTATACTGCCCAAAGTGAGCTGGGTCAGAGGCCACAGCCTTCGAGGGTTTTTTTTCAGCGGGTCTATGGAGAGCTGGGAATAGGTATATTTGATGATCACCGTGTGTGTGTCAGGGCATCTGTCGTCTAAAACTACTGGTGTTCTCTAAAAGGTAAATTATGATAATAATTATAGATATCAAGTGGCAAAAAATATTTCTGACAACATCAAGTACTGGTGAAGATATTGAGAATATAAGGTATCTGGAACTCACACTGTGCAAGTACTTTGAAAAATTATTTGGCAGTTCCTACTAAAACTGAACTCACAAATACACCCTATAATGTGGCAATTCTAATTCTAGGTGTAGCTCTAAGGGTAACATGTAAATAGGCATGAAAATCACATGTAAATGATGTTCATGAGGCATTATTTATAACAGTCCCCAATTAAATTAACTCACGTCTACCAAGGGTAGGATGAATAAATAAAATGTGGTGTAGTTATATTAATATAATGGCATATTGTACAGCAATGAAAATTAATGAATTACTGTGACATTCAGTAACAGGGAGACATTATAGGAGCATAATGTTGAGGAAGAGCCACTAGATGCAGGAAAATACATACTGCATAATTACATATATAAAATAAAAAATGAGACAAAATTAATCTGTGGTGTTAGGTGTCTCTCCAGGAAAGGGATGTTGGCTAGAAGGGAGCATGAAGAGAGCTTCTGGCGGACTGCAGGGCTCTATTAGCTGAAAATATGTTCACATTTAATAACAATGTATAGTAAAGTAATAATAAAGAACTGACATAATAGTTTCATGACCATGAAAATGAATCCAAGAAATAGAATAAAAACAAGTGTTAAATCAGAAATGAAAGACTCACATTAAATGAGAATCTAATACAATACTGTAAAACTGTTTAGTATAGAAAAGCAACCACTTGGTAATTTGGTTTGTTCAAATTTGCATTAAGTGACATTTTATATAACTTCACTATTTCCTGTGTCCTACCATAAAAATGTTTAATATCATAATCTGTGGGAAAAAATTTGTGTATTAAATTAAATTTAAAAAACCACTTGTATTAAGTGAAAAACCATGTTTGGAAAAGTAAAAGTTTATTATGAGACAGCCCCTCCCTCCCTTTTTGCATTACTACATTACCCCTAGTAATATTTGTTGCCTTTGTACTTTCCTCACTCCTTAAGATTTTCTAGTTAAGGAAATGTGAGGTAATTAAGAACTGTCACTTTTTCTGATTCTTTCCATAGAGCTTCTGAATTTACTTGCTCAAGTTAACAATAATAAAAATAGCTGTCATTGTCTTAATATTTTAATGTTTATCTGCAATGCATTTATGAAACTGTACACTGCAGTTCCCCCTTTCCTAGACTATAATCTCAGAATGCCATTCTTAACCTAACAAACATCATGTGACTGGATTTTCATATGACTCTGTAAATACCACTCAATCTAAACTTAGTGTCACTGAACTTTGCAGGCATCAAATTAACAGATTTGCATCTGTAAAAGAAAATAGCCTTTGTTTTTAGAATTAAAGAAATAAACCTATTGCCAATAATAATTTTCTAAAGGTTGAAACTCTTAAAGGTGGAATCAAGAACATATGGGATCATTGTTTCCTCGTTTCCCCTAAAAAAGAGTATGGCGAACAAAACTCAGTGAATTTTATTTTTTAGTGATGAGTTTAAGAACTTACAGCTTTAGATTTAAGTGGGCCAAAATTGAGAAGGAACTTTGTTCTGCTACTGATCTATGTATTCCAACCATGCTAAGCATAAGAAAAAAAGGTACTACAGAAATGTTTTCTCGAAAAGAATAGCCAAGTGTGTGCAAGGAAGGCCCAGAGCTAAGGTAGGGGAGCCTGCATCACATGGAGGATTCCTACACTGTCTAGACTGGTGCTCTAGCAGGTATGGGCCACACGTGGCTACTTCAAGTTAAATTAAGTAAAATTTAAGTCAGTTCCTGCAACTCCCTGCCACATTTCAAGTGCTCGGTAGCCACATGTGGTTAATGGCTACCACACTGGACAGCCTGGATATAGACTATTTCTTCACTCCAGGAAGTTCTATTGGTCAGCACTCCTCCAGGTGTAAATTAACTTTATTTCACAGTTCCTAAAATTATCAGCTGTAGGTGCATAAATCTACCAGTGTGGCATTTGGATCCAAATAATAAGCAAACATGATTTGGTCCAGAAATAGAGCATTTAAAAAAGTAGAGGCAATAATTATAATCATGAAACCATGCCAAGGCTTCAGTGCAGGCTAGAAGGGGAAATACTCTGCCCAGAATCAAGTGGCTTAGGCTGTACACCTGTGTTTCTTTCGGCTGCATGTCCTTGCCCATGACCTCACATGTCAGAAGTGGCCACATATTACCTTCCCGACTTCATGGGTGGGAAGGGATGTCAAACAAGCCTAAATAATAGTAAGCACATGTTGTTTGCCCTATTATCTTTATATTAACCAAGACTTTTAATATCATCAGTAAACCTGACTCTGGCAAATGCTCACCTCACTGAAGTTCTCAGAACTGAAAAGCATTACCGAGGCAGTCCCATAAGTCACTGGTCTCATTAGGGAAATTTGATTGGTCAATTCTTCTCCACCAACGGATTACAGAACACTACTCTATATACTGGAGTGATTCTAAATTCAATTTCTGTAACAAACTATGTTCAAATACATACCTTTATACAGTGCAATATGCCCAGAATGAATAAACAATACTGTTCACTGAAATAAAGGTGGTGGGAATGACTTCCAATTACACAGTTAGTTATAATGGCTACAGCCAAAAAGGCAAGAGTATCATAGAGGTAACTAATTGTAGTTACCTATATTAAACTTTTTTATCTGCTCATGTATTGTCCCTCCAAGATTTTACATGTGGTGACTCATTCTGAAGGATCCCCTTATCTCACCTTCTTATTCTGCACACATCTAGGTGCAGTACCTCTTGGGCAAGTTGGTACTTCACTCCTATTGGGCAAGTTAGTACTTCACTCCTACTGGGCAAGTTGGTGCTGTGGGGTGCTACCATAGTACCTTCCCGCTTTTTTCCATTCCTCTTGAGAACAAAGAAACTAAACAGAGAACCTTTCAGACCTTGGTTAGAAAAAAGCACTGGTAAGTTGTAAGGCAGCTGTATTTCTGAGTGGGTGGGGGAAGAAGAAGGGAGCATATGTGGATTTCCTCAGAAGAAAAAGTAAACATGGTCTGCCACAGGATTTATGCCAAGAAGGTGAAGAACTGTTATGTGATATCCTTCAGTTTCTTTAGCTGGGAACCTGAAACTGCTCCAAGCTAGTGGGAGAAGAGATGAAGTACGATCCATAAGGACATTAAATATCACCCAGAGAGAGAAGTTGAGGAATGACTTCATGAATAGACTTTTAAAACTAAGGGAATTATATACCAGAGCTCGATAATATCCTTCTGGATAAAATAACCATTACTTATAATAGTGTCTTACCTTTATTTAGCTATGCTTTTTAAAATAAAATTTTAATTTTAGTAGTTTTAGATGGACAGAAAAATTACAAAGATAGTCCAGAGTTCCCATACACCTCACACTCAATTTCCCTATCAATATCTTTCAATATTATGGTACATTTGTCACAATTAGTGAAGCAATACCAATACATTATTATTAACTAAAGTCCTCACTTCATTTAGATTTCCTTAATTTTTACCTAATGTCTCTTTTCTGTGCCAGGATCCCATCCAGGATACCATATTACGTTTACTGGTTATGTCTCCTTAGGTTACTCTTGACCGTGACATAGTTTCAGACCTCCCCTGTTTTTGGTAACTTTGACAGTTTTATGGAGTACTAGTTAGATATTTTGTAGAATGTCCTTCAATTGGGATTTGTCTGACTTTTTCATTAGACTGGGTTATGTGTTATTGGGTGGAAGACCATGGAGATAAAGTGCCACTCTCATGTTATATTAAGGGTATATACTATTAAGGGTCACTGTTGATGTTGACCTGGATGATTTGGCCAGGACAGTATTTGTCAGGTTGCCCCACTGCAAAGTTACTCTTCCCCCCCCACTTTCCATACTGTACTCTTTGTAAGGAAGTACAATGCACAGGCTACCCTTAAGGAGTAAAAATTCATGCTCTACCTTCTTGAAGGTAAAATGTGTGCATAAACTATTTTGGAAATATTTTGTGTGGTAGATTAGTCTCTTCTCCCCATTTATTTACTTGTTAATCACTTATTTATACCAGACTCATTGATGGTTATTTTATACTCTGGGTTATAATTCCATACTACTTTATTTATTTTGTTCTCAAATTGTTCCAGCATTAGCCATTGGGAGCTCTATCCTTTAATTCCTGTGTCCCTTTTACACACCTCCATCATTGTAATTTTTAAAAAGCATTTATTTACTTCTGGCACTACAAGATGCTCTAGGTCATCTTGTATATTTCCTGCCCCAGGCCTAAAGTCAGAGATTTCTCCAAGGAGCCCTGGCTTCTAATACTGGAGAATGGCGTTAGAAACTAAGATCTGAGTGCTAGGTGACTTCTTTGTTTTTTAAAGATGCTTTTGTACATACATATTTCTCTTTCCACAACATTGATGACAGATAGGTAAACTAAGGCTTAGAGTAGTTAAAGGATTTGCTCAGTGCCAAGGCTAATAATAGCAGTGTTGGAATAAAACTCAGTCTTCTAATGGTAGTTCCCTGTCCTTTGACTATCTAATGTCTTCTGGATGAGAACACAGCATCAAAGACCAGATTAACAACCTATAAGAAAAGGAAAAAGGCACTTCCAGAAGATAGTCCTTTCAGAAGGTAAAATTTAATAGGCGTAACTGACAAACTCTCTTGTCTATCTAGAAGAAACAACTGGAGAGTCTGTCTTTCATGGAAAGATATTTTTATACATTACGGCTTTTGACTGAGGGTGATTTAGCTCCCCTCACCCCCCAGGGACATTTGGCAATTTCTGGTGGGTGGAGGGTGCTGCTACTACCATCTAGTGGATAGAGGCCAGTGATCTTGCTAAACATTATATAATGCACAGAACAGCTCCTCCAACAAAGAATTACCCAGTTCAAGATGACAATAGTGCTAAGGTAGCTAAAGGAATAAATACTAGAAGATTCTTCATCTAATTTACACTGTTTATATTCTAACTGAATTAGTTTTCTATTGGTGGCTATGAGGGATCACCATGGAAGACTCTGTCTCATTCTGTGACCTCATGAGTTAGCCTATCAGAAGAAAAAGTCCCCACTTTGGTTAAGAAACATGGCTCTCAAATCAGATAAGAGACTCCTGTAGTCCTTTTTTTAAAAAAATATTGTTTAGAGACAGGATCTTCCCCTGTTGCCCAGGCTGGAGTGCAGTGGTGTGATCGTAGCTCATAGGTAACTTTGAACTCCTGGGCTCAAGCAATCCTGCCTCAGCCTCCCAAGCAGGTAGGACTGCAGGTGCACACCACCAGATCTGGCTATTTTTAAATTTTTTTTCTAGGGATGAGGTCTCATTATGCTGTCCAGGCTAGTCTTGAACTCCTGGCCTCAAGTGATTCTTCTGCCTCAGCCTCCCAAACTGCTGGTATTATAAGCATGAGTCACTATACCCAGCCACCTGTAGTTCTTATGTATGGGACGAATAGAAGAAGGCATGCTCTTTAAACAAGCTGCTTGAGTCAAGCAGGGCATGAGCACAGTTACATATAATGGTCCTGAAAAGGAAAGGCCTATCTCCATATAAGCCATCATTTACTGGCCACATTGACTGTTTTCTGTTTCAGGATCAAGCTGTGTGGAATAGTTACGTGGCTTTGAATGAATGGGTGAACCTTACCAAGTAGATGGCTGTTACCCAGAAACTGTTGTTCACTACTCAGTGACCTCAATTTGGAGAGGAAGTGAGTGACTGAATCCCTATTTGTTGATGTGGTGACCACCCAGCACTTTGACAGGAGAAATAACCCTTTTATTTACCAGGATCTCTCTTGGAAGATTTAGAAAAAGCTTGCTCACTCTTGGCACTAGCAAGCTGATGAAGGACATTTTCTGAGCAAAGCTAGGTGCCCTGGGGCCATAAATTGCCACTGCCCTCTATGACAAAATTCAGAGAGCTTTGGTGGCAGCCCTATCTGGGGTGAAGCTATTTGTGGAGCTCCTAATGAAGTAGACATGTGTATATAAAGTAGTCAATGCACTGGCATGTCTGGTACATGTAAACGCTTCTCAATGGTAGCAAACATAAAGAAGAAATGTTTACCTAGCGCTTTCAATCCATCAGTCCTTGTGCTAAGTTCTTTATACATTATCTCACTGAATCTGCATAACATCCTATGAGATAAATACCATTATCAAGTTTATTTTCACATGTGGAACTTAAAAGTAATTGTGTCAATTGGCCAATGCTAAACAATCAAAAAGTAGAGATGGTATTTGAATCTCTAACAGTCTAACTCCGACATTTGGGTGCCTTCATTACTGTATTATACTGTCTTCTATCTGCACTACAGCAACTAAAATTATTGTTATTAACCGCTGTACCTGGCTGTTTGTTCTTAAAACTTGGGTGGCAGAGGTAAAAGGTGGTGAAGGTCAAGAATGTTGATTCTTGACCGGGAAGATTCTTCCCAGTATCTTCCAATGATTCAATTCTGCTTAGCATTTTAAATCAGACAAGATGATAATCAGAGACCTAGCAGAGAATCAAGGACTTTTTGTGGATTTTGTAAAATGTTCAGTTATAAGTCTCAGTTGGCCACCAGTAAAGGGAATGGTGTCTACAAACTATGGATGGTATGTGGTTGAGGACAAAGCTGACATCGACATCATTAACCAGGCAAAGCAGATCCGTGGCCAGATGCCTATGAAGATTCATGCCTCTTCAGACCCTAGGTAGAGAGCAGAAGATAGTAGAGGTGAGGAGGGCAGCTGGCCCACTACAAATGGAGAAAGGAGGTGGGGGTGGACAGGAGATCCTGCTTCCCGTGACCCTCTGGCTCTGAGGCTATGGCTCTGATGGACACACACAGCTGTAGAAGAATGAGGAGCCCTCAGACACCAGGTCTGCCAGAAATGAAAGGAAAAAGAGCTGGTCAGATGCAACTAGATAGAACTCTGGAGAAAACATGGCTATTCCATTTGAGGATATCTCCAACACCAGAGTAGAAGAGGGGAGGAAAAGGAAGTATCTGCTTTCCCTGTCTAATGAAGAACGGTGCCTGGCTCATGGTAAGCACTATGTGAGTGTTAAAAACAGCATACACAAGGCTGCACAAGTAGAAGAGGAAAAGGTGGAGAGAGTGAGCCAGCATTCCCAACACCGCAGAGTTAAGAAGCAGCAAACACAACCCAGAAAAAGTCAGCAATGCTGGTGAAATGCTCATAAAATGTCATAGCAGACACAAAGAAACACTATTTTGTTTAGTGTAATGAAGCTACTCCTCCTGTTCCCCTGACCTCAACTTTCTATATACTATATATAATTTGATAAAATAACATCCAAATAGTTTGAGTATTTTTCTAATTGATATAATTTCTTTGTGCTATTAAAAACCAAATGGCAAAGAGAAAACTTTTTTTTCCCTAGATCAAACTAATCACTAATAATGGTTGATTTATAGTTTGGGGAAAAATTTAGAAAAGATTTAAATGCTATTAGGTAAAACTGGTTTAAATTTTGATTAACTGAACTCTTTCCCATTGTGTATATTTTGTTGCTGTAGTTAGAGCAATGCAAAAATTCAAAAACATTTAAGGATTTAAATGTACTTTTAGGAAATAACAAATGTGATATGGAAAATATAACTAATCTATCAGTTAAAAAATGGAATTCCTGAAGGTCATTGCTGGGTGATTTGAGGTTTAAGTCATCAAGGAAGTTAGATGCTTATGGAGTAGGAGTAATAAGGAAAGGACGACTGTCCTTTTGAGATACAATCTCACTCTTGTGGATAGCATGATGTCAGGAAATAACAGAATGTCAGGGATAACAGAATGTCAAGTTTAGCCCCTTAACAACCCGACAACACCAACCAATGAGTGTTACAATAGGTACTCAAACAAGTACTAGACAGATGGATGGAAGAATGAATAACTGACCAAAATGCTCATCATCAAATATGGTTAGAGGCAGGAATCTCTCTCCATCTCCACCTTCCCCCTTTCCAACTTGTGGCTTAAAATAGCTTTTTGGTCTCTTCTAAAGTTACTGTTAGAAAATAGCATCTCTTTGGTCTTCAGTCCCCACCCACAATCCCACCATCTGTTCTGTGCACATTAAATTTGCTTAATTGCTACTAGTTGCTATTGTTGATCTAAATCTGCCTACACTTCAATCTTAATGAATATATTTAGCTAACAAGAGAGTCTACCATATTCTAAAGATGTGCCTTTTCCAACCAAAAATTTAAAAGCTGTTCTGATAGCCAGCCATCTTTCTAACCCCTGATTATGTACATTTGAGGGAGGGAGCAGATAAATGATATGAAAGTAATCATTTCAAATACAATCATATATAAAGCAGAATATATGGATTATCATTGGAATCCCTGTATTGAACTATTCTTAAAAATGAATATTTTAGTAATGATTTGGTCACAATTTGGCCATGACCAACCTAATCTGGTAAACTACTATGACCTCTTGAATAAAAAAAAAGTTAATTTAATAAAAAAGTTAAGGTAAACTTAATAGAAAAATACAGAAAATGGTGTTTCCAAAAAAATTTCCAATGTTTGAGTCAATTAATATTCTCCTCTGTATAATTTTAATAGCGAAATTGTGATATAAAATATTGGTATCATGCAAGTTATTTTCTAAGCAGTAGATACACTGTTTCTCTTACTATCATATGCCTATATTATAACTTCAGTATGTTTTATTTTATAGAAATTAACCAGATTGACATTTCAGTGAACAAGAGAACTAACAATGAGATGATATAAAATATAATGTGACATAGGCTGATCCTAGGCTGGCAAGCAAAAACAATTCATGCTACCTAGAAGTCAAAGCAGAATATAGAGAGAGCGGTAGAGTATGGATGGCAGGAAGGTGAAGGTGAGGTAACTTTAGGTTTGAATAATCACTGTATATCTTCCAGATTTGGGGATGGCAAATATGCCACAGTATCCAACTATGACTTTTGGTTATCAGTACTTAGAAAAATATGCTTGTATCAAACTAATAATGTAAACCATAAAAATATTACAACAGTATGTAGAGTGTCTTATAATAGAAAAGAATAGGTTCTAGCTCCATACCTGCCCCACTTCAGCATTGTACCCAAAAGCCACTACCTTTAGTCATTTGTTTCTAACTCTTCTGATAATTTACATTCAAAACTCTAAATAATATAATTATACTTGTAGTTCTTAGTTCATAAGCCATAAACAACATCTACTGACTTCCCATTAAGAAATAAAGAGAATTCACATTATCCTTTATTATTCTTACCCCTCCCTCACAGTTGTTATAGTTTTATTCTTTTACTGGCCACTGCTAACTTTAAACAATATACTTCAGGTTCTATCTGTTCAATCAATTTTTAACTCCCCACAACATAAAATAGGCTATTAGTGATTCTCCCCTTCTCACCAATTCCCAGTCCCCTTCCACATCTTAGCCTCTGACTGCCATTTTTTTCCCGAAATTGTCAACTACCCTTTCTAGGCTTTGTTTCTAAGTTGTTCCTAAAAATTAAAGGTAAATAATCTGTTTACTCTGTTATGAATATAAATATTACTTGTTGTGAAAACAAGTAATGTGCTAGAATTGCATTTCTATTTTTAGAGTTCCATTTTTATAAACTCCGTCATTTGAAAGAACATGTTACTAGAATAAAGATCAAATAGATTTCCTTTTCTTAATTTTCACAACTGCTCAAAATCATGTCACATTTTTTGTACATTCTGATTGGACCATGACATCATTCTACAATTTCTTACTTTACCTGGAGTTCCTAATTGCTTTTACTTTATTTATTGTTGACCAAATATTCTTTTGTTGTTGTTGTTGTTGAGACAGGGTTTCACTCTGTTGCCCAGGCTGGAGTACAGTGGGGTGATCATGGATCCTGGGCTTAGGTGGTCCTCCCACCTCAGCCAACCTAGTAGCTGGGACCACAGATACATGCCACCACATCTGACTACTTTCTGTATTTTTTGTATTTTTTGCCATGCTGCCTAGGCTGGTTTCGAACAACTGGGCTCAAGTGATCTGCCTGTTTCGGCCTCCCAAAGTGCTAGGATTATAGGTGTGAGCCATTGTGCCTGGCCCAACTCCTCTTTTTTTATTTTTAACAGTATAATTATATGTTTAAGTCCAACAACAAAGATGAAAGATTCAAGGTTTATTACAGCAGAGTTAAAATTAAAGCACGCTTTGAAAATACTCTTGTTTTTAAATGCTTACACAAAGACAACCATTTGCTCATACTGTCCCTTAGCACAGAGATGAGACATATTCTGTGTATATTAGTGACTTTCAGTTTATGAAACATTGCTTGCATATATTATTTTATTCTCTCAATCCATAAATTAGGAAATATCTTCTCCATTTTACAAAGTAACTTAAAGTTAGAGAAACAGAGATTTAGCCAAGATCACACAGCAAGCAAGTTGCAAGTTCCAGATTTGAAATCAAGTTTTCATTTTTCAAACGTCAGTGTTCTTTGCTTCCACCACAGCTTTCTAACACACGGGCTCTTCCTGCCTTTTGTTTAAAAGTAAAACATCCTAATTTTTTATTTATAGGTTTTGTTATCACAGCACTCCTATAAGGAAAGCACAATATCTCCACTTCTTATTTATTACTGGATACTATGGGGCAAGATTTTAAAAAATAAACAGTGAAAAACTGGCAGAACTAAGAGTAAAACACAAATAAACTAAAAGGCCATTACACAAAGAGTTGCTAATAACAAACTGAATAGTCAAGAAAGGCCAAAAGTTCATAAGCATATTCTCAGGTAATATATGAGAGTCTGTAAGGCACGGAGCTATTCTGTACAGCTTTAGTAATGCTGCATTTACATAAAAAGGAAAAGTGATCCCAACAATACTCTGACAAACTAAGTATATCTCATACAAATAGCTTCTTGGCAACAATCCTGGCTTTTGACTTTAAGGTCAAGCCAAACCAGAGACCAGTCAGGACAACTGGGGTCTGCTGAAGATGCAACGTGAGAAAGCAGGGGAAGTTGAGACTAGAAAAGACACACCTTCCAATAGTAGGAGGCCAAAGAAGCAGGTTTCAGCTTAATACCAGGAGGAAATCGTAATAGAGGAAATGTGCACACAGAAATAAAGACAAAGTATTAGTACTCAGACCAGATAGATTCTGGTTAGTTGAAGTTTTACACTCTCTATACAGGTATAAGGCAAAACCTCAAAATTCAGTTACAAAGTTTTGAACTTCATATTGACTTTTTATAATATACAAAGTAAACATTCCTTAATGTACTTTAAGATTTGATTTTTGACTTTATATCAAAAGAAAATAGTTTAGGAAGTTTTGCTTTTTAAAAACAATACCTACTTAACAGAAACACAGAATCCAATTTGAGCAACATAAAATGTCCATTTCAAGTCTTTCATCTGTATATAGTTAAACCCTAGTACTAATTTTCTCTTTTTAAAATAATGGAGGGGAATATGTATAACCCTTTAAAGTAGAAATGGCATCTTAAAAGAATATTCGAGTATACCCAAAACGGAAATAATGCCTTTTCATTATTAATATTATCTGCTGATATTTATTGAGAGCTCCTCACTATGTATTAGGCACTGTGCTTAACATAACACATATATTATCTCACTCATAATACAACTTATCCCAATTTTAAGAGCAAACAGAGACTTACAGAGGTTAATTAACTGGCAAAATCACACAGTTAACTCTGAACTCACACCATTTCTTAAACATCACACAGACTACCACTCTCTCTAACCACCTAATTAAGTCCACATGACAAATTCTTAATCATGATATTAATGATTACCAAGTTTCACCTAAGTAATGGGCTAACGGGAGATTAACTGGATGAGTTTCATAAGCCTGCATCCTCATCCTCATGTTTGCTCGTAATTTCTACCTCATCTTTGTTCTGTCCAAAAAATCATGGCAATCAATGTAGCTTACAGGAAGCAGCAAAACTGATTTGATTTATCACTGATAATGCCTCCTGTTCCCTTGTTGGTGGGGACATTAATGAGCAATGAGAACCAGGCAGCCTTAAGGTTTGGGGAATACAAATATATAAATACTGTACATCAATATACACACTTTAAGGATTGAAGTATTAGGAGAAACACCTCATTAGATAGTAATCCTAGAAACTTATATAAACTACATTATTACACAAAAAAGACAATGTTATTGACTCTTTTTAGCAATGGATTTTCTTTACAGTTAGTTTAGACAGACTGTATTTTCCTACTGCACTACATTTCATATAATTGGTGGTATCACGTACCTTGAGGAGAAAAGATGTGGCTATTTTAAGGTATAATTTATTACATAAAAAGCTTTTTTGAGTTAGACAGTGATTGTTGAAGGCTATTTCATCTATCAGTAAATATTTATGAAGCACTTACTAAGTAGAAACCTCTTACACTGTAAAACATTTTTCCCTCCTCTTCTTTCCCGTGAATCTCCTCTCCTTCCCCTTCCAGAGAGAAATGGGGGCCATCACACAGTAAGTACAGTAGGGTTTCTTTTGTTTGTTTGTTTACTATGGTTAACATTTTTTAAAGACCTCAGATGCTCTTCCTTGTTTTGCATCTTGAAGCAACTTGTCCTTGGAGTTTGGGTCAGAGGTACAAATTCTTGCTAAACTACAAAGGAAGGGTAGGAGTTGTTTATTTCTCTTTCTTTATTTAGGATATCGACTTCCAGAGCTGAATAAGGTTACATGAGTAGAATCACACCCTACATTAAAAAAATTGGTTTCCACAGATATTTGCATTTAACTCAGGAGTTCAGAGACTCGGGTGTTGGCTGTAGTTCTAACAACAACTCACTGTGCAACTTCGGGGAAGTCACTTGAGGCCTCTGAGCCTCAGTTTCCTCACTTAAAATAAAGAGCTGGAGTTAATTTCTCAAGTCTTTTCCAGTTCTGGAATACCAGGATTTCCTTGTATTCATCCTTATAAACAGGGGTAACCACTAATGAGAGCCATGTAGAAGCACCACACAGAACCCATCCCAACGAAACTGAGAACCTGTCTCTGGCACCTTCTTGGATTACTGAAATCCAGCAGACCTGTCACTTGCCCCCTCAGCAGAACGATTCTTTCCAGACGTTTTACATACCACATGACTCTCACAGTTCAGTTGTCAAGAATCCAGAGACCACTACATTTTTGGCAGCTTTGCAGGTCTGAAGTCTTTCCTGTTTGATTTTATTGACGATCCAATAAAGCAGAGTTGTGTAAAAGTAGAGGCTTTCTGCATGGGGTGTTTACCCCCACAACCACTGTCATCTTTTCCCTCTCAATTTAATTTTAGCTGTGTAAAAAAGGGCAACTAATGTGATGGGAGGTGGGGGGATGCTTGTTTTGTTTTCTCCAGATACCACTGCCGCTAACTTCTGTAACCTATCTACTGTCTTCCTCACCTCTCATCCCTCATCCAAGTAACTATCCACATTTCCCCTCTGTTTCTAAGTCTACTAACAAAACAACTTATTTTGCTCTTTCAAAATAAGAAATATAAAAAATTGCTTCCTTTTATCATATGGTAATAATCTCATTTTTTAAGGAAAAAGACAGTATTTCATATATTGATAAAAGAAAAAATACATAGATAATTTAAAAAATACTGTTTTGGCTCAGGGAATGCTGACTTTCTAAGGTTGAGAAGTGTGGTGATGGGAAGAGGAGAAAATGAACATATGTTGACCAGCCACTATGTAACAGGTATGATATAGATATTACATCTTATGTAATATCCACTACAAGCTCTGTGATAGATATTGCTATTCCCATAAAGCTGAAAAAAGTATTGACAGTGATTCAGAGAGATGAAATAATCTGCCCACATTAAACTGAGCCACTGTACTTTCCATTATATCATTATTGTGCCACTACCTGAAAACTAGTAAAAGAACAACAAACATTTACTTCTTTATTGAAATCAGTTAAAAATCTTAAAAGGCAAAAACATACATATAGCATAGTATACAATAAGAGAATTATGTGCTTCCCCTGAACGGAAGCATTTAGCTGTAACTAAGTAACTGCTGTCTACCATTACTTCATTCTTTTCTAGTTCCTGCATATGAATGGATTTTTGTATCCATCTTCTATTAAGGATGCTGTTCTATTAAAATCATTTTTTTTTCATCCTCAGAACATTTCACCATGGCCAACTATAAATATTTACTCTCATTTGACAGGCAAGGGCCTTTTAAAAATAGAAAAACAGTCTGCATAACTGGTTTAAACTTTTGAACTTTATTTAATACACAAGAACTATAGAGAACCAGTAGTCTCAAGCACAACTCAATGTCATCCAATACTCATTCGTTTATATGTTCATTTGTGTCTTCTCCTCCTAAATATAAAAAGGTTCTAAATTGCTTGCAAAATATAGTTAGAAATGAGAGGGAGGTATATAAAGAATAAGTATCCCAAGCTAAAGAAAATCAGAATAAAATGTCAAGACTACGAAGACAAAAAATAAATGTAAATATACTGCAATACTGGAACTATATGTAAGTCTCAAATCGGGTTGTGAGCTTACTAGCCCTCAAAATGAGGGAAAAAATATACACATGCACAATCAATTACACAATTCTAAAGGTTTACAAGAGAAAAAAGTACCAGTTAATAAATAGAAGTAAAACTTTTATTACAATTTGTACCTAAAATAAATTTCTCAAGAGTGGTCAACTAAAAAAAAGAACAAAATTCAAGTAGGAAAGGTATTACTACTAAACATCTCATTTCAACTTGATTAAAATAATTATTAAAAAATCAATTGCAATGAGAAAACTGATAATGACTTTAACTGTGAATATACAAGGATACAACTTCTAGAATTTATAAAATCTGTTTTAAATACAGTGAAGTTCTAATGTGGGGCCAATGATAATGTTTTATTTATCCATTCCAATTATAAATTAAACTCCACTCTGCAAAATGGTAGTGAAGCTTAATTATAAATAAACAGATCCAAATTAAAAAACAGAGTATCAGCTATGAAATAGGCCTTCTCTCCTTAAATCAGAAGTTATACATAATCTTAAAAATTATAAAACATACACACACATAGAAAAGACAAAAAACATAAATCTGTGCTTTGGTTGAAATGTTATAAACATTCATGTAATTGCTAATCAGGTAAAAAAAAAAAAAGTAGAAAATTTCCAGGATACCAGAAGTCCTCTGATACCACCCTTGAAAGGTAATTGCTATCCTCATATCTATGGTACATCCTTACTTTTCTGGCTTTACTACCTAATTATGCTCTAGTGTAACCCATTTTAATATCTATTTTATAAATGCAACCATAGAATATGTATATCCTGTATTACTGGCTTTTTCTCTCTCATTTTCTGTTTTTAAGATTCATTCATGTTGTTCATAAAGCTTCATTTTCATTGATGAATAGAATGTCACTGTATGACACACTGCATAGCAACTGCACTATTGAGGGATATTTGGGCTGTCTCTAATTTGGTGTAATAGTGAATGCCACTAAGAACATTCTGGATGGTATATATTGCAGCCTAATATGGCTGTGTCATAGGGAATGCTCACTTTCAACTTTATAGGATAATACTCAACAATTTTCAAAACCAACTCAACAATTTACACTCCCACCAGCAGTTTAAGGGTTCTCTTTGCTTCACATCCTCACCAACCACTGAAATCACTAGATTCTTTAATTCCAACTATTCTGATGGATATCTAGTGGTACCTCATTGAACTTTAATTAGCACTCTCATGACTGTTAATAAGCATAAGCACATTTTCATGTTTATTGGCCATTTAGAGTTCCCTATTTGTAAACTGCCTGTCAAGACTTTTGTTCATTTTCTACTGGGTTGCTGTCTTCCTGTTACTGATTTATAGGTCTTTTTTACACTAGATAAAAGTCTTTTTATCATTATATGTATTCCAAATATCTTCTCTTCTATAACTTGCCCTTTCGTTCTTAGTAATTTTTTATGAAGAGAGACGTTTAATGTTTGTCAAATTTATTCACTTTTCCTTTACAATCAATCAATACTGTTTCTATCCTATTTAAGAAATATTTCATTATCTTTAAGCTATGAAGCTATTTTTCTCAGATTTTCTTCTGATAGCTTTACTGATTTGCCTTTCATATTTGTTTCTATAATCCATGTGAAATTGATTTTTGTCTAATATGTGAGTAGGGATCAAGTTTTATGAATTTCTACATAGATTTCCAACTCTCCAGGCACCCTTTATGACAGTCCTTTCCCCACTGCTCTGCTGTACCTGTTCTGTCATCAAGCATGTGTCTACAACTGCAAAGGTCTTTTCTGGCATCTCCGGTTCAGTGATCTTCTAGTTGTCAGTCTTTATACCAAAAGCACTCTGACCAAATTACTGTAACTTTAAAATAAGCCATGAATTATTTGCTAGTGTCTTGTAGGACAGACCCTCTTGCCCTGTTCTTCATGAGTGTCTTGGCTCTTCATGGCCCTTTTCATTTCCATATAAATTGTGGCATGAGCTTCAGTTTTCTATAAAGAAACTTGTTAAAATTTTGGTTGGACTTAACAAAAATACAACTAATGACCCTCACAGAGTCCACTTCGCTCCCCTGCTACCTTTCCTGGAGCAGGTGCTGGTAGCCACAGCTAAGAGACCTGAATACAGATCACATCACAGGACTCTGTGCAGACACTTCCCAGTACCAGATCAAAGCCCAGTAGCTCTGCTGGGTGGCTAGATTCAGAGGAGAAATAGCATCACTGCAGTCTGGCTCTCAGGGAGCCATTTCTAGGGGAAAGGGGAGAACACCACAACAAGGGAGCACCCTGTGGGACAAAAGAATCTGAACGGTAGCCCTTGAGTCCCGGATCTACCATCTGACATAGTTTACCCAAATGAGAAGGAACCAGAAAAACAATTCTGGTAATATGACAAACATGGTTAACACCCCCAAAAGATAACACTAGCTCACCAGCAATGGATCCAAACTAAGACTAAATCTC
Organism: Homo sapiens; assembly: GCF_000001405.40. Lineage (NCBI taxonomy): Eukaryota > Metazoa > Chordata > Mammalia > Primates > Hominidae > Homo > Homo sapiens. The sequence goes on along the minus strand of NC_000006.12, from coordinate 116,186,874 downwards.
TGAATTGCCAGAAAAAGAATTTAGAAGATCAACTATTAAGTCAATCAAGGAGGCACAAGTCCAACTTAAAGAAATCAAAAAAATGATACAGGATACGAATGAAAAAATCTCCAGTGAAATACATGGCATAAATAAAAAAGCAATCACAATTTCTGGAAGTCAAGGACACACTTAGAGAAATGCAAAATGCACTGGAAACTCGCAGCAACAGAATCGAACAAGTAGAAGAAAAAGTCAGAGCTCGAAGACAAGGCTTTCAAATTAACTCAATCCAACAAAGACAAAGAAAAAAGAATTAAATAAAAATGAACAAAGCCTCCAATAAGTTTGGGATTATGTTAAATGACCAAACCTAAGAACAACTGGTGTTCCTGAGGAAGAAGAGAAATCTAAAAGTCTGGGAAACATGTTTGAGGGAATAATCGAGGACAACTTCCCCAGCCTTGCTAGAGATCTAGGCATCCAAATACAAGCAGCTCTGGGAAGAACACCTGGGAAATTCATCGCAAAAAGATCACCACCTAGGCACACAGTCACCAGGTTATCTAAAGTGAAGATGAAAAAAAAAAAAAATCTTAAGAGCTATGAGACAAAAGCATCAGGTAACTTTTAAAGGAAAACCTATCAGATTAACAGCAGATTTCTCAGCAGAAACCCTACAAGCTAGACAGCATTGGGGTCCTACCTTTGTTCTCCTTAAACAAAATAATTATCATATAAGAATTTTGTATCCAGTGAAACTAAGCTTCATAAATGAAGGGAAGACACAGTCTTTTTTAGACAAACAAATGCTGCGAGAATTTGCCATTACCAAAAGAGAACTACAAGAACCACTATAAGAAGCTCTAAATCTTGAAAGAAATCCTTGAAATACACCAAAATAGAACCTCCTTAAAGCATAAATCTCACAGGATCTATAAAACAACAATACAATGAAAAAAATCCAAGGTTTTCAGGAAACAACTTGCAGGATGAATAGAATAGTATGCTACATCTCAATACTAACGTTGAATGTAAAGGGCCTAAATGCTGCACTTAAAAGATACAGAATGACAGAATGGCTAAGAATTCACCAACCAAGTATCTGCTGTCTTCCAGAGACTCACCTGACACATAAGGACTCACACAAACTAAAGGTAAAGGGGTAGAAAAAAATATTCCATGCAAATGTATACCAAAAGCAAGCAGGCGTAGCTATTCTTACATCAGACAAAACAAACTTTAAAGCAACGGCAGTTAGAAAAGACAAAGTGGGACATTATATAAGGATAAAAGGACTAGTCCAACAGAAAAACATCACAATCTTAACTATATACGCACCCAACAGTAGAGCTCCCAAATTTATAAAACAGTTACTACTAGACTTAAGAAAAATGAGATCAACAGCAACACAATAATAGTGGGGGACTTCAATACTCCACTGACAGCATTAGACAGGCCATCAAGACAGAAAGACAACAAAGAAACAATGGACTTAAACTATACCCTAGAACAAATGGACTTAACAGATATTTTCAGAACTTTCTACCCAACAACTGCAGAATAGACATTCTTTTCATCAGCACATGGAACATTCTCCAAGACAGACCATATGATAGGCCACAAAGCAAGTCTTAACAAATTTAAGAAGACTGAAATTATATCAAGTACTCTCTTAGACCATAGTGGATAAAATTGGAAATCAACTCCAAAAGGAACCCTCAAAATCATGCAAATACATGGAAATTAAATAACTTGCTCCTGAATGATCTTTGGATCAACAATGAACTCAAGATGGAAATTTAAAAATTCTTTAAACTTAATGATAATAGTGACACAACCTATCAAAACCTCCAGAATACAGCAAAGGCAGTGCTAAGAGGGAAGTTCACAGCATCAAAAAGTCTGAAAGAGCACAAATAGACAATCTAAGGTCACACTCAAGGAGCTAGAGAAATAAGAACAAACCAAACCCAAACCCAGCAGAAGAAAAGAAATAATCAAGATCAGAGCAAAGCTAAAAATTGAAACAAAAAAAATTACAAAACATAATATAACAAAAAGCTGGTTTTTTGAAAAGATAAATTAGATTGATAGACCATTAGTGAGAATAACTAAGAAGAGAGAAGAACCAAATAAGCTCAATTAGAAATGAAACAGAAGATATTACAACTGATACTACATAAATATGAAAGATCATCCAAGGCTACTATGAACACCTCTATGGGCATAAACTAGAAAACCTAGAGGAGATGGATAAATTCCTGGAAATATACAACCCTCCTAGTTTAAACCAGGAAGAAACAGACACTCTGAACAGACCAATAACAAGCAGTGAGACTGAAATGGTAATTAAAAAGTTACCAACAAAAAAAGGCCAGGATCAGACGGATTCATAGCTGAATGCTATCAGACATTCAAAGAATTGGTACCAATCCAATTGACACTATTTCAAAAGATGGAATCCTCTCTAAATCATTCTATGAAGCCAGTATCACCCTAATACCAAAACCAGGAAAGGATATAACAAATAAAGAAAACTACAGGCTAGTATCCCTGATGAACATAAATGCAAAATCCTCAACAAAATATTAGCTAACTGAATCCAACAGCATGTCAAAAAGATTATCAATCATGATCAAGTGGGTTTCATATGAGGGACGCAGGGATAGTTTGACATATGCAAGTCAATAAATGTGATACACCACATAAACCGAATTAGAAACAAAAATCACATGATCATCTCAATAGATGCAGAAAAGGCAGCTGACAAGATCCAGCATCTCTTTATGATTAAAACCCTCAGCAAAACTGCCATAGAAGGGACATACCTCAAGGTAATAAAAACCATCTATGACAAACCCACAGTCAACATTAAACTGAACAGGGAAAAGTTGAAAACAATCCTCCTGAGAACTGGAAAAAGACAAAGATGCCCACTTTCACCACTTCTATTCAACATAATACTGGAAGTCCTAGCCACAGCAATCAGGCAAGAGAAAGAACTAAAGGGTATCCAAATTGGCAAAGAGGAAGTCAAACTGTTGCTTCTGCTGATGACATGATCATATACCTAGAAAACCCTAAAGACTCCTCAAAAAAGCTCCTAGAAATGGTAAATGAATTCAGCAAAGTTTCAGGATACAAAATTAATGTACAAAAATGAGTAGCCCTGCTATACACTAACAGTGACCAAGCTGAGAACAAATTAAGAACTCAACCCCTTTTATAAAAGCTGCAAAAAAAAAATAATAAAATAAAATACTTAGGAGTATACTTAACCAAGGAGGTGAAAGACTTCTACAAGGAAAACTACAAAACATTGCTGAAAGAAATCACAGATGACACAAACAGAAACACATCCCATGCTCCATATAACATGGGATATTATAAAAATCCCACAAAATATCCATATTTAAAAAATGACCATACTGCCAAAAGCAATATACAGATTCAATGCCATTCCCATCAAAATACTACCACCATTCTTCACAGAACTAGAAAAAAGTCCTAAAATTCATATGGCACCAAAAAAGAGCCTGCATAGCCAAAGCAAGACTAAGCAAAAAGAACAAATCTGGAGGCATCACATTACCCAACTTTGAACTATACTATAAGGCCATAATCACCAAAACAGCACAGTAATGGTATAAAAACGGGCACACAGACCAATGGAACAGAATAGAGAACCCAGAAATAAAGCCAAATACTTACAGCCTACTGATCTTCGACAAAGCAAACAAAAACATAAAGTGGAGAAAGGATACCCTATTCAACAAATGGTGCAGGGACAACTGACAAGCCACATGTAGAAGAACGAAATGGATCCTCATCTCTCATCTTATATAAAAATCAACTTAAGATGGATGAAAAACTTAAATCTAAGACCCAAAACCATAACAATTCTAGAAAAGCACAGTGGAAAAACCCTTCTAGACACTGGTTTAGGCAAAGACTTCATGATCAAGAACTCAAAAGCAAATTCAACAAAAGCAAAGATAAATAGATGGGACTTAATTATATACAGCAAAAAATACAATCAGCAGAGTAAACAGACAACCCACAGAGTGGGGAAAAAAATCTTTACAATCTATACATCCAACAAAGGAGTAATATCTAGACTCTACAAGGAACTCAAACATATCAGCAAGAAAAAAACAAACAATCACATCAAAAAGTGGGCTAAGGACATGAAGAGACAATTCTAAAAAGAAGATATACAAATGGACAACAAACATGTAACAAAATGCTCAACATCACTAGCGATCAGGGAAATGCAAACCAAAACCATAATGTGATACCACCTTACTCCTGCGACAATGGCCATAATCAAAAAATAAAAAAAAATAGGTGTTGGCGTGGATGTGGTGAAAAGGGAACACTTTTCCACTGTTGGTGGGTATGTAAACTAGTACAACCACTATGGAAAACAGTGTGGAGATTCCTTAAAAAATTAAAAGTAGATCTACCATTTGATCCAGCAATCCTGCTCCTGAGTATCTACCCAGAGGAAAAGAAGTCATTATACAAAACAGATACTTACACACACATTTATAGCAGCACAATTTGCAACTGCTAAAATGTGGAACCAGCCCAAATGTTCATCAATCAAAGAGTGGATAAAGAAAAAGAAAATGTGATACACACACACACACACACACACACACACACACTCTCCATGGAATACTACTCAGCCATAAAAAGAAATGAAATAATGGCATTTGTAGCAACCTGGATGAAATTGGAGGTTCTAGGTGAAGTAACTCAGGAATGGAAAACCAATGTTCTCACTCATAAGTGGCATCTAAGCTATGAAGACACAAAGGCATAAGAATAATACACTGGACTTTGGGGACGCGGAGGAAAGGGTGGGAGCGGGTGAGGGATAAAGGACTATACACTGGGTATAGTGTACACTGCTCAGGTGATGGGTGCACCAAAATCTCAGAAATCACCACCAAAGAACTTATTCATGTAACCACCATCAACTGTTTCCCAAAAACCTATTGAAATAGAAAACTGAATAAATAAAATTTTGGTTGGAATTGCACTGAATTTATATAATTAATTTGAAGAGATGGCACCTTTAAAATACTGTCTTCCACCAGGAACATAATATAGCTCCCATTTATTTAGGTCTTCAGTTATTTCTCTCAATCTTGTGCACTTTTTTTTTGCACAGAAAGCTTGCAATAGGTTTTGTTAATTTATCCCTAGGTACTTGCATTTTGTAAGTTTCCAATTGATTGTGTTGGGATCTGGATATACAACTGATTTTAATGTAATGAAAAAAAGTGGTGACAATAAGCCTCCTTGTCTTATTCTCAGTGTCAAAGAGAATACTTTAGCCAAGAGTGTGAAGCTTTGGAGATATCCTATAATGGGATTAAAGAAGTTCTTTTCTATTCCTAGTTTCCTATGGTTTTTATTATGAACAGATGCTGGGTTTTATTAATTGGGTTTTTCTGCATCCACTGAAATAATCATAAATTATTTGCTAATATCATAAATTAAACTGATAATTCCAATGTTAGTTTTGCAACTTTTTATATATTCTGAATTTGCTAATATTTCTGTAAGATTTCTGTAAGATCCTTTTGTATCTATATTACATTGTATTCTTATTATAGTAATTTACCTAATGTTTACTATATTTATTTATCTGATATTCCTAAGTTTAGTTTTTCATTCTTATGGAAATTTTCAGACACATGTAACAGTAGAGAGGTGAGTATAACAAACTGCTATACTCATCACTCGACTTCAATAATTATTAATCTTTTCATCTATATATGTATCTCGTGTACCTCTGTTAGGTTGTCTTAAAGTAAATTCAAGATACCATATGATTTCATCCCAAAATACCTTTAAGTATGTATATCTAAGTGATAAGAATTCTTATTAAGCTACATGACACCTGAAAAATATAACAATAATTCTTTACTATCATCATATATCAGTTAGTGTTGAAAATGTCACCAGCATCTCCCAAATAGTTTTTTAAAAATTGGTTTGGTTGACTGAAAATACACGACTCACAAATTGCAATTGGTTGATACATCACTTAAATGTCCTCTAACCTACAGTTCTCCTTCATTCTTTTTTCTTTCCATTTATTCACTGATGAAATTGGGTCATTTCCCCCATAGCACTTTCCTCATTCTGGATTCTGCTTATTGCCTTTCTACAGTGTCAACTAACTTGGTACTCTAGTTCCTATGAACTGGTAATTACAGAGGTTTAATACAATCTGGGTTTGATATTTTGGCAAGACAGTTTTATAGAGAATGTATTTCTTATTGCATCACATCATGAGGCACAAAATGGCTGAATGTTTCTTTCTTTGTGATAAGATTAAGCAATAAGTTCAGGTGTTATCAGTCTTCTCCATTCATGAAGTTTCACTTAAGTTTTAGCAGTTTTAGCAGTCATTAATGATCACTACCTAGGTCCATTATTTCATTAGGGATTATAAAGTGTGACATATCAATTCTATCATTCCATTTTCATTTTTTAAAAGCTGGAATTCTTCTATAAAGAGAAACTGTCCTGCACCAATGAGTTACCTTGCGTTAGAATTTGTAAAAGAGAAATAAGATAATTGTTTCATTCTTTCCTTTTATGATTTTCAGAGTTGGTTCTCTTGCATCCTCTAAACGTTGAAAAATGAGACACAACACACTTTTAAGAAAACATTTAAATAAAATGAATCTTTTACTTATATACTATCTCTGTAATTAAAATAATATATGCCCTTAATAATTTAAAATAAAAAATGTAAACACTTATCCTTTGGGGATAAATTCCTCTCAATTAGATCATTATAAATTCAACACAGTTATAGAGAACACCACGGTATTTTGCAATAAAAAACAAGATTTAATTGTAATAATAAACTTCTGGGTATTTTATGCAGCTAGAACTAAAATTATCCACATTATCTACACTGTTCTGAAATTCTAATAAATGTGAACTTGCTTCAGAGGGATCACTGGCTAACAAATCCTTTAGGATGAGAGTGATTTTCATGACATCAAGAATCTTTGGAGCATTATGTATATTCTTGTGCCTTTCCAAAAGAAATAAGATTACTCTAAGTTATCCTCAGTATGCCTGAACCAAACCAGGACATCAAAGATAGGTGTATGTCTCAATCAAACCAGAATCTTATAATTATTGAGTTCATCACTGAAGCTGATTTAGATTCCTGTCATCAAAGTGCCAAATGCTTGTTCAAAACCCGTTATTCTTTTTGATAACACTGGGAATGATGAAAACAATTTAATTTCAGTAGGTTAATTTTTAAAAAGGTCTTTGTGGTTTTGATTTGCGTTTCCCTGATCATTAGTGACGTTGAGCATTTTGTCATATGTTTGTTGGGCATTTGCATATCTTCTTTAGAGAATTGTCTATTCGGGTTCTTAGCCTACTTTTTGATAGGATTGTTTTTTTTCTGCTGATTTGTTTGAATTCCTTGTAGATTCTAGATATTAGTCCTTTGTCAGATGCATGAAAAGGAATGAATGCTAAAACCCCAATTCTCTGAAGAAAGTATTAACATCTGATCAGTATAAGAATGTAAATCCTCCTGCCATTATGCAGTTTTCAGAATTCTTCATTTTAATGTAATATTAATAAGATAAGGAGTATTTTCACATTAATAGTGAAAAATACACTGGAAGAATATCTACTATATGTTATTTAATATTTTTAAGCTAGAATTCTTCTATAAAGAGAAACAAATAAATTGGTATCCCCACCCTTACAATGACACTTCCTGAAGCTAAATATCTCTACTTATGTTAAATAAATAAGAAGAAAAAACAGCATGAACATATCGAATTTTACAAACTTACTTTGACTATTTTAGGGCCAAGAAATTACCATTTGTATAACTATGAAGATGAGGATAGAATAATCTTTTCTTTCTACTGTTCACTGTCTTTGTGCCTTCAGACTCATAAGGAAAGAAAAATTAGAGGGCTGGAAATGCATATCGAGTAAAAGAAATTTTGCTTAAAGCAAGAAGATTTTTATAAGGCAAACACTGAAATTGCAAATTTACTGGGAGTTGGGGGCTTTTTCTGGTTCTCACCTGTCAATTAATCCATGAGTTCCCCTCCCCTTCTGAGATGCTCACATTTTGGGAGGCATCAATCAAGAGGTTTTATTATTATAGGGAAACTGCTCTATATTTCTGGAAGTACAATAACATTTTGGACTATTCAGTAAAATTGCCTTTACCAAAACTATAGTTCTTTGCACTGACTTTGAAAAGTTCATTCTTCAGAGTAAAAGGTGGGAACACTTGGTAATTTGGCTTTCACATACCAGCTGACACTAGTTATGACTTCTTTAACAACAAATGACTGGAAGTCGGTTAGTTTTCTGCTTCATTGCAGTAATCTCTTTTAATAAACTGGTCCAGGTTTTGACCACTCAATTTAGAATTCTTATACCTGACCATAAAACATAGAGATGTTTACAGATTCTTTCTATCGCCTTTATGAATCAAGAAAGGCTGACTTCAAGTTAAAGAGTTCAGAAAGGTGTCCTAGGGCTTATGGCCATACCACCCTGAATGCGCCCAATGTCACCTGATCTCAGAAGCGAAGCAGGGTCGGGCCTGGTTAGTACTTGGATGGGAGAGAGGTCCCCTAGGTATGATCCTCAGCTTGTGGGTTTCAAGCAAACAAGAAGGGTTTCAAGCAAATTAACTTTCACTTAGATCACATAAATTTAGACCCAGTCCCACTAGTAAACACACACACACACACACACACACGCACGCACGCGCGCGCGCGCGCACACACACACACACACACACACACACACACACACACTTTCCTCTTTGTAAAGTTATGAAAGCTAGACATACAGGATAAAACAATTCCACAAAGTAAACTCCTTGATGCTGCAGTGAAAGGTAGTGGTATTTTTATACTATGAAACTAATCTCCAATCTCTAAGGAGTTAAATGTATTCTAGCAAAAGTACAGCAAAAAGTCCATTTCCTTTCCAACCTCCCTGCCCTTCCAGTAGGCATTTCAGAGCTGTTACCTAAAGCTTATCAGCAGAAAATAAACAAATGGGATGCTTTAATGCCCTTTCACGTGGTTATAATTTAGAATGTCAGAAAACATTTTAGAATATTATTATTTAATTACTTAGATTATTTAGTAATAAACTTTAAGAGAGCTGATGGTATTTTGATACATTATCTCTTATATCCACGAATTTTTAGATAAATTCCTTTAAGTAAAAAGTATAAGAGCACTGGAAAACACAGGGCTTGAATGCAACTGTTAATATTTTACTTCTAAATACATTTTATCATGTAATTTTATTTACTTAAACTATATTTTACATTTAGTACTTAGTGGCTTACATTTAAGTAGAAAATTTATATCATTAAAGAGAAGAAAGCTCATGAATATACTTTTACCCATTTTGCAATGAAACAGATGGAAGCCATTTCTAATATTTAGAGTGGTGAGTTTCAATCACAAAAATAATAAAGTCTAGATTTTATAGTGGTGCCTGTCTTTGGATATATTCTATCAAGTTTTTTCTTTAAAGTCTATAACGCCCATGAATAAAAACACAGTTAATTGAAAAGTATGTCATGAATGTTATAAACAGTCAAGGGAAATAGCAAAGAAACATAATCTATGAGACTAAACTTAATTATTTGTATTGAGAATTTGTTGGAAACGAAAAGCTCAAGTAACAAAAGACTTAATTTTTATAGTCGTATGCATCAATTCACTCTATGAGACACTAGTATTTATACTGAAACCGGTCCACATATTATAACAGAAACTATACTATAAATCAAAACTTCAGATTTTAGTTGTAGTTCTCTGGACATTTTGTAGCATATATGTGCCCTAGTCTTCAATTCAGTAAGATAAAGAACTGTATTAAAATTATATCTAAAGTTCTTATAAACTTTCTAAAATTACACGGGGCAAAAAAAGGGCCCCTTTCATATCTTGGTCCAGATGCTGCACTTGGAGAAGTGAGAAGATCACAGGACAGTCAGCCAGGCAAGAGGAAAATAGACTTGGGATGTATCTGTCCCTCTAGGGGGAACAACAAATCCTCCTAGCCCACAGTGCTTCGGTGCTACCTGCTTCCTCAGACTCTTCATGCTAATGAAACAAAAGGCTTAAGCAGCTGGAGGAAGGGCAGCAAGTCCAACAGGCACCATAAAGGACAATATGTGGTTGGGAAAAAGGTGGAAGAAAAACTCTATTATGGGCACAAGACTGCTTTGGGCCTAAGATCCTATACCAATACCAAGTAGATGGTACTGTGTTTGATATCTTTCATTATTTTTTGGAGAATTTCTACTGCTCTAAGAGGGGCAGAAAACTTCTGCTAATGTCAGCTGCAAGTAAAGGCAGTATTCAACTGTCACAGGGAGGAGAACCAGTAAAGCAGAAAATATCCCCAAGACCCTGGTGTACATGGCTTCTCTAAGGCTGAGACTGAGCCAGAACAGAGAACTATACCCTGCCTCCAGGCCCAACAGAAGCAAACCACATAATGCTAAGCAACAGCAGTCTTCTGCTAGGGGAAGAGCAAGAGTGTGGTGCTATACCCTCTCTGTGGTACATGCATGCAGGGACAGCTGAAACATTAGCTGGAGCAGTAATCCTGAGGAAAACTTAGCCAGCACAGCATCCCTAAGCACTAGGCAACAACACTCTAGCACTAGAAGAATTTGAAGCCTATGGTCTACCATAGGTAGCAAAACCCAAATCCAGCTAAGCTGCTGACTAGACTGATTCAACCTCACACAATTACAGCGTAGTAGAAGAGGCAAGTCCATTTTGAGGTGTAAATACTGTTTGCCTCAGTGCCTAATGTTCACACAATGTCCAGCATTCAATCAAAAATTATAAATCTCATATACAAAACAAACAAACAAACAAGAAGCCCCCAAACAACCCAGCGCTAAAAGACAAGTTAATCAATAGACACAGACTCACAGATGATTCATACATTGGAATTATCAGACAGGGACTTAAAAATGACTAAGATTGAACTGTTAAAGGATCTAGTGAAAAGGATAAACAACATTAATGGGTAGATAGGATATTTCAGTAGATCAATTAAAACTATGGAAATATTAAAAGTTTTAAAAGACAGTATCTGAGATGAGGAAGATTACTTTGGTGTGTTCATCAGCTTCTGACATAACTAAGGAAATATCACTGAACTTGAACAGTAGTCAATAGAATTTACCTAAACTGAAACACAAAGAGAAAAAAACTGTGTCGGGGGAGAAGGAACAGGGCATCCACAAACTGTAAGACATTATCAAATGGTCCAACATACTCATAATTGGGGTCCCAGAGAAAGAGGAGAGACAATGGAGCAGAAGAAATATTTGAAGAGATAATGACCAATAATTTTTCAAAAAATAATGAAGGATATCAAACACAGATCCAATAAGTTCAGTGAGATAAATACTCCGCCTACTTCAAAATCTACCACATCATAGTCAAACTATTAAAAAGGAAATATAAAAGGGAAATCATGAAGGTAGCTAGAGAGAAAAAATGTGAGTAATATAAAATAACTGCCTTTCTAAAACTAACCTATAGTGTCAGAAATCAGATCATTAGTTTTCTTGGGTGGGAGGTAGAGATGGGGAGGACTGCCTCCAAAGAAACTTCCTGGAAATGCTCTGTATCCTGATTGGAATGGCAATTATACAAATGTATATATGAGTCAGAATGCATCAAACTCTATACAAAATATACATATTTTATTGTATATAAATTATATCTCAAGAAAATTAAATTTCTGAAGTTAATAAGCCTAATTCCTTAATTTTTAAAACAATGAGTAGATAATCCTGTTCATGGAAATATTCTATATCCCTTACTAATGATTATTATGGTCATTCAATAACCTAATCCTTAAGAAAAGGAGACAAAATGGTTTATTATAAAACATGACTTTTTAGATGTATCTTTAATACTACAAGAAACCCTTGCTATCCTAAAATGGCTTATGTAGTGTTTGTAGGGAACTATTAATAATCCCATTAGGTTGAATTAGCCATGCTTTATGGTACCAGTGGATTGCAAAGCAAGTGGTAGAATTGTAGACTGAGTCCTTCAAAATGGAGTATGATGAAAGCAAAATACAAATTCAGAAAAGTTATGAGAGCTAGAAAGGAGAGAAAACAAGTACCTGTATAAAAATCGAAGATGTCTTTAAAAAATCTTATTGAAAATAGTAAAGGGAAAATGCCTGAATTCTCTATTCTACCTAATCTTCACACAAGTTTTTCTTTTTCATTACTTTTATCATGAAACAAAACACGAATAGGAAATATTTTATTCACTTAACATTGGCACTCTAAATTTTATATTCAGTGGTGAAAAATACATTTAATCTAGTTATGAGCATAATTTAAGTTGGTTATTTCATTAATCATGCATATCGTCTTTTCCTTCAGGAGTGAGGGGAAGAATTAACACTGCTGAACAGACCTATTAGTAAGGTCAAAATGGTATGTCTATGATATTTCTTACGGAAGATTTCCAAATAAGTATATTTTTTTCTACTTCAGGCAGGGGAATTTAACACCTACCCGTCACTCTTGAGAGTGGGCTGGACTTAGTGACTTGCTTTCAAAAAACGGAGTATGCAAAGGGGAATAAGAGTAACTTTACAGTAGAGAAACATGGCAAATGCTATGTTGGTCAGGTAATCAAGGTTAATATTAGCAGTGATGTCATGTTGACAGCATGTACCCCTCATATGATGTGATAAAACTAGTTCTTCACTTCTGTGAAGTGAACCACAACTGCAGTCTAGTCATGGAAAACCATCAGACAAAAGCCAAATGGAGGGGCATTTTATAAAATACGTGGCTAGCACTCCAAGTGAGAAATTGTCACAGACCAGAAAAGACTAATTGAATGTGATGATTAAATGCAATGTGGTATCCTGAATGGGATTATGGGACAGGAAAAGGACATTAGTATAAAAACTGGTAGAAGCTAAATGAAGTCTTGTGGTTAGTTAATAGGAATGTGCCAATGTTGGTTTCTTAGATGTGACAAAGGTACCATAATAATGTAAGATGTGAACATTAGGGTGATATTCAGGATCACTCTATATTGTCTTTATCATTTTTCTATACATTTAGGGATTATTCCAAAACAAAGTGTATAAGACAACCAAAAAAATAAATAAATAAATTACAAAAATAATATGTGCAGGAAAAGAGGAGCCCAAGGAAATTTTCTGAGCTGGGTCTGATTTTTACCACAGTCCACAGCTCCTCATACCCTGAGGAGCACACTCGCCCTCGCTCAGCTTTAGTGTTGCTGTTGCTCAAAGCGGGAACCCTCTACATGAAGTGAATGAAGCTCTCTGCTCTAAAGGGACTGACAGGCTGCCTACCTCTCTCATTACACCATTGGAGGATTCTGTTCTGCTGTCCAAAAATCACACAGCTGGAAGGAACCGTCAGTGTTTTCCCACCCCAGATGGGAGAAGGTATTTCAACTTCAGATTGTTAAAGAGTAAATGTTCTAATTTATTTTTTAATCATATTTTTCTAAGTTTTAAATTTTGCAACTCTTAAAAATAAAACGTGGAGCAGCTCCATGTGTATTTCAAGTTGAGTGGTAAGGAGTAGCCACTGACACAGTTATAGTTTACACTTTAGATGAACACTGCCAGGGGCTGTGGTTTAGACACATACAATGTTTTTAGCTATCATTTTTAGTATATTGTGTTTAATTTATCTCCATAATGGATCACCACAAATTTTGAACTTTAAAAGTTATAGAAGAACATAAAAATGACAATTCCATAGGTTCTCTCCAAAATAATATCTGTGAATTGTATTCCTCTGATCAAATTTCTTATGTAAAAAAATTAAGATATCTCAAGATATAAATATAATTTTATCCTAATTGGTTATCCACACCTGCAATGTGAAACTGTAGAAAAGTGCCTGCAAAAAGAATCCTGAAACATCCTATCTTACCTCATCATTTGGAAACCAAATAAAAACAAGGAGAGTAGATTTTCCTAAAGGTCAAATTTCAAGAATTCCAAACATCCAGATGTGAAAAGAGTTTTGACTATTTTTGATGCCTGAGTACATAAAGAAATATAATAAATACTTTAAAATTTCTCAGGAAATAATCTTTTCTTATGTAATTAAATAATATATGTTATCTGCTATACAGAGAAAACATAAACAATTTCCTTACAAAGTATATATGTTACTAAGGTGTGGCCTGGCGCGGTGGCTCACACCTGTAATCCCAGCACTTTGGGAGGCTGAAGTGGGTGGATCAGGGGGTCAGGAGATCGAGACCATCCTGGCCAACATGGTGAAACCCTGTCTCTACTCAAAATAGAAAAATTGGCTGGGCGTGGTGGCGTGCGCCTGTAGTCCTACCTACTCAGCAAGCTGAGGCAGGAGAATTGCCTGAACCCGGGAGGTAGAGGTTGCAGCGAGCCAAGATTGTGGCACTGCACTCCAGCCTGGGCAACAGAGCGAGACTCTATCTCAAAAAAAAAAAAAAAAAAAAAAGTTACTAAGGGGTTATACTAAAATGAACTTGACAATCCAATCTTTAATAATATACTTATCTAATATAACCTTAAACTTAAAACCACTTATTATATACTATGTAAAAGTGAAAAAAATAATTTTCAATCTTTCTATGAGGAAATCATGAGATTGTATCACTTAGGAAAGGGTTTACAAATTTACAACAGGTTAGGAAATGCTCAACTACTTCAGTCATCTTGACTTACAGATGGAAAAAACACTGAAACCATAGATGTGTGGATGGAAGTGAGAGTGTTTTCTCTACCTTCCTCTTAATCTTTCTACAACATAATTTCTCTTTTAAGATGTGGCGGCTGTCATACAGCTGGCTATCCATCAATAAAATCCTATCCACTAAGCAAAGCAGGTCAGAAAACTCTCTCACTCTCGGACTTAAACTTCCCTGTATATAGAAAACAAATTTAAAGACAACTGTTTAAGTACCTCTTTAATATCAAAACACTAAATTTACAAATTGCACATTTATGCAAATGGTTGTACCAAGGCTTCTCTCTGTACCCCAATTGCTCAACACAGCTCCACTGTTCTTACCATGGGAGAAAACCGTAAAAACTCAGTATTCTGGAATAATCTTTAAATTCAAAAGTAGAATAGAAACAGCAGAGAAAAGTATAGGGGATACCAAAGAGAGAATTCAGCCAAGTCAAATATAGAATACACTGTCTTCCTGCTTTTCCTACCTAAACCACATTATTGCCCTATTCTTAGTCCCCCCAAAAAGGTAGGCTCTCAAGTTATATGACATATGGTTTAAACAAGTCTTTTGTAAGTACCAGTCTGAAATCTGATTATTATTACGATGATAATAATCATCTTTACCACCACTAACACTTGCACAGCCTGGCTTTTTTTATAAAGTATATTCCAAATTTCTGACAAATAGATTACAAATGGCCTTTTAGAACAGTGTCTATTTATAATTCCTGGTCTCAAAATCCACAAAATAATGCTTTTCTAGTCAAAGCAAAAACCACATATTTATTTGATTTTATAATGTGTATTCTTCGTAAAATAATAATCTTGGCAATTAAAAAATAAGTTAAGTGATTAAAACATTAAAATATGTAAAAGGTAGTGGTGACAATAATATAAGTGGGTCATTTAACCTTACATATATTCATTTATTCAACAATCACTTATGGAACACCTACTATGGATCAAGTGCTATGTTGGGGATTTAAAAAAAAAAGATGACTTCTAAGGATATTACAGGCCAGTAAAAACAGAGAGATGTGTGAATCATTAAGTCCAATGAAGAGGCGTGGTAGGGTGGTAACAGGCTAAATAAAATGAGACCACAGAGGAGGAATGGGCAGGTCAAATACAGAATGAGGTTTGACAGGCTAGATGTCAGGAAAAGCCTTAAGGGAGGAGGTGACCTTAAGCTGCAGTTTGAAAGATAAGTTGGCCCTGACAGATAATGAGGATAGGCTACACGGCAGGTGGGAGTGAGAACTGCAAGATCTTCTAAGGTGATCAACTGAAGGTACTATGCAGTATTTTCAGTTGATTTCAGAGGTATTTCCTAGTACCAGCAAGCAAGCAGTTTGCTAAGGCTGAATTTTGGGGTAGGGAGGTACAGCAACAGCCAGGGCTATGTATGCTATGCTAAGAAACATGGCTTTATCCACAAACAGTTCTTAATAGTTTCTGAACATATACCCTATTTAGAATTTAAAAGTGACTAAAACAAACAAACCCAACAGCTAAGGTGCACTGATTACTTATTATGAGTCAGGTACTTTACGTACACTTCTGATTTAGTTATATATCCACAAAAGCCCTTAAACAGGAACCATTTCTATGAGAAAATGGTGGCTATGAACCTGGTACTTTCCCTGTTGGAAAAAATAAATGGTGGCTAGATAATCTGCCTACAAGCACACCAACTACGTGGCAGAATAGACTTCGAATTCAGTTTAACTTAAGTCTGTACTCTATGAACCCTTTCTTTTGAATTAAAAAAAAAGTACATATATACACCACAATTATCTTCTTAATCAGGTCACACCCCCCAATCACTGGTGGGGACACAAGATAATCTCCTTTCATTCCATATCATCCCCTAGCTATGACTCCTTTTGTCTCTCCACTTCACAGCAAAACCGACAGAATGTTTATATATAAAGACACTGGCCATATCCACTTCCTAATTTCCCCTTATCCTTCTAAACTTGTCTTCCTACTGAAGAAAAGAGGGATTAGCTATGGACAATGTCGCTTATGGCTCCATATTGCTAATCCCATGGCCAATTAACTGTCTTTCTATTACCCAATGGCTCAACAGGTGACTAATTCTCTTTGTTAGTTCTAGGAAACCCCTCTCCCCTATTTCTGTTGTTTTCCTTTCTTCCTTATCTACCTTTCTTCTCAACTCCTCTTCTGCCCTAAGAACTATAAATGCTGGATTATCACTTGCTCAATCTGAGTTTTTCTTCCTTTCATAAATATCATCTATACACACTTTCAATCAATAGGTTTTTATTGATAATCCTCTGAACTCCAAATGTCTGTCCAATTGTCCACACATCTCCTCTAGGACATCACATGGGTATCTCAAACCCAAGAGGTCCAAAATAGAACTCTTCATTCCTCATGTTTTATCCATTTGTTAAAATTTCTCAATAAAAAATAAAGCTTAGCAGATAGCAGGTACTACAGGCTACCCCATACCTAAAGAGCTCATGCAATGCTGCATATAGTTGATCAGTATGCAAAATGAATAGCTAAAATCCTCAAAAGGCTTGTTAAGATATATATTTTCCTACCATATAGTCTTTCATACAGAACTTACGGCACCTATCATGATATTCTGGCTAATCACTATGCTTACTGAACTTACAGAAGTGGCAATATAGTAAGCATAGACACAAAATATTGTAACAGTCATAAACTGGAAACTATAACATGTTTTCATTTTTTAAATGTTGTGGAAATTGGTCTCTTGCTTCTGACAGTGGAGAACTATGCCATTTGAACAAATTGTCTAACTGAGGATAACTAGAAAAGTTAAACAAACTTTAAAAAATACCTGCTTAACAGCACTGAAGAACCAAAATGTCAATGAAGATTTAAGAGGTCAAGTTGAGAAGCTGAGGAAAAGAGAAACCCAGAAAGCTGAGCTTGGAATCTGGGGCTTCTGCCTGGAATTAGCAGTAACACCAACTTCAAGAAAAGTAAAGGAGAGCCTAAGAAGTCGCAATCTTCAAGAGGCTTGGAGGACAAAAAATGGAGGCCAGTGCCTGCCAAGGTTAGGTAGAGGCTAATAAACTCTCCAGGGTTTATTAGAAGTTAATGAGCTCTCCAGGTTGACCCAAAAGGCTATACTACAGAAAGAAGTACGAACCAGATATAATACAGCTCTCAATGGCCTGAAGCACAACTTCACATCACCTCAATCTCTAAAAATTGATGACAGGTGATCCAGGAGTGCTAGAGCCCTAGCTGCCTGCCAGAAGCAAACATAAGTTCTCCCTGTAGAAAGTTATCCTAGACCTCAACATTTTTCTCTGTAGAAAAGTACTCTCTGTAGAAAGTAATCCAGACCTCAACATTTTTCTATAAAATTAAAAAAAACAATAGCTAGTATCAATAAAAAATTATCAGATACTCAAGGAGACAATATAATATAAAAACAAAACAAACAATCAAAAAAAGGGGGAAAATACACGACAGAACCAGATCCACAGCAGCTCCTATGGCATGAAGACAGACTGAACCAGATCCACAGAAGCTCCTATGGTATAAAGACAGACTTGAAAACTATAAATAATAAATTCAGGAAGCTCTAAAATAAAATCAAGATTTTGTCAGAGAATTGAAAAATAGAAAAAGAACTAAATGGAATTCTAGAACTGAAAAATACAGTAATCAAAATTAAAAGCTCAATGGATAGGTTTATAAGCAGATTAGACGCAACTGAAGAGAGAATTAGAAAAATGGTTAGAAATGAGATTAAAAGAAAACAGAACAAAAGGCAGACAAGAAAAGAGAGAAGGTGAAAGATCATAAATGATAGTAAAAATATCTTCTAAAATATGAATAACTGAAATCCCAGAAAGAGAGAAAAGAGAAAAGGAGCAGAACAATATTTTTAGAGATAATGGCTCAGAATTTTCCAAAACAAACCAATGGTGTTAAGTGAATATCTGAGAAGCCCTCCAAGGAGAATTTAAAAAAAAAAAAAAAAAAAGACACCAGGTACATCATAAATCGAAGATGAAAAACCAAAGACAAAGAGAAATTAGTAATCTCAGCAAAACAGATTATCCTTTAAAGAACAATTATACTGATAACTGAATTTTCAACATAAACAATAGAAACTAGACTATAGTGCAGAAAATAACCATTAACCTAGACCTCCATTAAAAATATTCTCTAAGAATGAAAGTGAAATAAAAAAATTTTCAGAAAATCAACATCCAATACACAGATATGATTGTTTAGCTCTAATGTTACACTTCATTTGAGCTAAACAATCATATCTATTCATAACAACTTGAGGGCTATGCAACGTAATTATCCAACAACGGTCATGGGCATTGACTTTTCTAGGAAAGCTCTACTTCCCAAGTCACTGAGCCGAAACATTGCCTATGAACAATTCAAACAAATTAAAAACTAACGAAGGGTAGAAGGGTAAGAAAAGAAGGAAGTAAAAAATGCCTGTCAATTTATAAAATATTGCAATTTTATCAAATGAAATCAGTACAAATAACTGGTATCAAAATGATGCATATTTTTTGCCTTAGAAAGTTCTATGTGGGCTGGGCACGGTGGCTCACACCTGTAATCCTAGCACTTTGGGAGGCCAAGGCAAGTGGATCACAAGGCCAGGAGATTGAGACCATCCTGGCTAACACGGTGAAACACTGTATCTACTAAAAATACAAAAAATTAGCCGGCAGTGGTGGCGCATGCCTGTAGTCCCAATTACTTGGGAGGCTGAGGCAGGAGAATCGCTGGAACCTGGGAGGCGGAAGTTGCAGTGAGCTGAGATTGTGCCACTGCACTCCAGCCTGGCGACAGAACAAGATTCTGTCTCAAAAAAAAAAAAAAAAAAAAAAAAATCTTCTATTTGAACTAATTTTACAAACACCTTTTAAGTACAAAGTATGTCACTTTTATATCTGATGCATTTGGTTGAACATATACAAATCATCAGTGATAAAAGATAATTCTACGGATATCACATGCTCTGAATAGTTTTAAGTGTGATTTAATTTTCTTGGGGGCAAAAATTTATAAACCATCTTTATAAGTCCTATAGTAGGCCTAATATGCAACTCTGTACAGAGTAGGCTCCCCAAAACAATTAATAAAGACAAGAAAGGAAGGCAAGATACTTCCTTGGCTCAATTCTTTGGCTCAATTCTGAATAACAAAAAATTATTCTCATTTCAAGGTCAGATTCCAGACATTTCAGAATTTCAGTCCTTTCGTCTTTAAATAGAAACCACTGTGATGAAGTTTACATCAGGGAACCATTTTTATCTCTTACATAATTTAAGTAACTACTAGATAAAAGATGAAAAGTCTCTGAAACTTTAGTAGAAATTTCTCATGGATTTAGATAAATAACTGAATTAACTTTTGAAATACACTACTGACTTGGTTTTAAGAGTGTTTTTTATCAGCATGTAGAAAAGGATGTCAGCAGTGAAAACCTCAAGGGAAATATCTGGGAAACTGGGTAAATGGAGATCGATGCCAGGAGTTTCTCACTCTCTGATGGCCCAACACTCAGCCTCTAGCAATTCATCACAATTACTAGTCAAATATCCACTATTCCCAATACCATTTACAGAAGACAAAATCCTTCTTCCATTGTGATTTCTTAGCACCTTTGTTGAAGATTGGTTGATCCATTCCTTTATGTTTTTAATTAGAACTGAATATCCAACCACCATGTATCAAAATTGTTGGTTAGGAGGAATCTGGATGGCTGACTAGGGATTTTGGATGTCAGTTATCCTCAGAGAGAAGATCAAAGACATAGATGAATGGTCATGATCTGAATGGAAAGCTTAGGGAAGATAGCCAGGATCTGTTGG
The DNA here is from genome assembly GCF_000001405.40 of Homo sapiens. Lineage (NCBI taxonomy): Eukaryota > Metazoa > Chordata > Mammalia > Primates > Hominidae > Homo > Homo sapiens. Next base: position 116,166,222 of record NC_000006.12, on the reverse strand, counting down.
AGACCCCACTGGTTGATGTGGGGTTGCAGAAAAGGAAAGCAGCAAGAGTCTCGCAGAGATTGACTCCCGAGAACCTCTGAATCCCGCCTGAAGGGTAGGTTGGGGTGCTTCTCTTCTCCCTTCACCCCTGCAATAAGCTGCTGACTGCCAAATTGTCAGGGAGCCTTTCTACCTTCATGACCCCAGGCAATGCTGTCAGTGCGGATTTAGGATCTTCCTGGGGACAGAGCACAGAGTGGCTAGTTTGTGCAGGTATCCCCTCACTCCCCTCAAGCCTGAGCTGAGAGGACAGACACCATACTGGTTGTGCATTCATTGTGGGCTACTACCCTGCATGGGGAATCTCAGCCCAAGTTGTTGCAATCACCAGTACCCTGCAAACATAGCCCAGAACCTGCTCTGACTTGACAACCACAGGGGACCAGCAGGTCCCTGGGGAGCTGTGGGATTTCCAGACATTCAGCCCTAAGCACAGGCTGCCCCTAGAAGAGGGGGAAGTGCGGCCCACTAAGAACCCCCTTGGGACAAAGGAAATGCAGGTACAAACTGATCACTGAATGGGGTGGTACTGGTGGTTGGTAACAGATGTAGAGGGGGGTCATCTCCTGCTCCCTCAGTCCACTGTTGTGGATGTAGGAGAGGCATTTTTCGAATTAACCCAGTCAGACAAAAATAGAAAAGAGAATTTTAAAAAATGAACAAATCCTTTTAAAAATACAGGACTATGTGAAGTCACCAAATCTATAATTTATAGGTATTCCTGAGAAAGAAGAAGAAAAAGTAAGCAATTTGGAAAACATATTGGTAGAAAGAATTCAGGAAAATTTCCCTGATCTTGTTAGAGATATAGAAATCCATGTGGAAGAAATCCAGAACACCAGTGAGATATGATATAAGGTGAACATCACCAAGGTATATAGTTATCAGACTATCCAAGGTCAATGCTAAAGAAAAAATCTTAAACGCCACTAGAAAAAAGGATCAAATCACCTATAAAGGAAATCCTATCAGACTAACAGCAGATTTCTTAGCAGAAACTGACAAGCCAGAAGAGACAGGGATCTAGTTTTAGACTTCTTAAAGAAAAATAATGCCAGCCAATAATTTTTTTTTTTTTTTTTTTTCTGAGACGGAGTCTCGCTCTGTCGCCTAGACTGAAGCGCAGTGGTGCAATCTCAGCTCACTGCAAGCTCCGCCTCCCAGGTTCACGCCATTCTCCTGCCCCAGCCTCCCGAGTAGCTGGGACCACAGGCACCCACCACCATGTCCGCTAATTTTTTGTATTTTATTTATTTATTTTTTTAGTAGAGACGGGGTTTCACCATGTTAGCCAGGATGGTCTCGATCTCCTGACCTTATGATCTGCCTGCCTCGGCCTCCCAAAGCGTGTATCTTTTTAAACTAAGCTTCATAAATGAAGCAGAAATAAAGTATTTCCCAAACAAACAAATGCTAAGGAAATTTGTCACCACTAGACCAGTACACCAAAAATGCTAAAAGGAAACAGAAAGATGATACTTGCTACCACAAAAGCACACGTAAGTACAAAGTTCACACATCCTATAAAATAATTACATAATTGAGGCTACAAAGCAACTAGCTAACAATATTAGGCAAGGAACAAAACCTCACATATGCATATTAACCTTGAACATAAATACTTGAAAGAGATAGATTAGCAAATTGGGTAAGAAAAACAAGATTCAACCATCTGCTGCCTAAAAGAGACCCACATAATGTATAAAGACATACACAAGCTCAAAGTAAAGGGGTGGAGAAAGATATATCATGCAAATGGGGAACAAAAAAGACCAGGGGTTGCTATTCTTATGTCAGATAAAATAGACTTTAAACCAACAAGAGTAAAAAAAGACAAAGAAGGGTATGATACATGATAAAGACTTCAACTCAATAAGAAGATTTAACTATCCTAAATATATACATTACCCAACACCAGAGCACCCAGATTTATAAAAGTACTACTACACCTAAGAAAATAAAATAAAAAGCCATACAATAATAGTGGGAAACTTCGACATCCCAGAGAAAACACCAAACAGATCACTGAAGGAGAAAACTATCAAAGAAACTTGACTTAAAACGGGCTCTGCCAAATGGATAGACACCTAAAGAACATTCCACCCAACAACCAAAGAATATACATTTTTCTCATCTGTGCATGGAACTTTCTTTAAAATTGACAATATGCTTGGTCACAAAGCACATTTCAATAGATTTTTAAAAATCAAAATAATATCAGGTATCCTCTCAGAATATAGCAGAATAAAATTAGAAATGAATGCTGAAAGGAACTCTCAAAACCACATACGTAAATGGAAACCAAACAACTTGCTCTTGAATGACTTTAACAAAATTGAGGCCGAAATAAAAAAGAATTGGAAATGAATATAGACATGTAACATATCAAATCTAGGATACAGCAAAAGCAGTGTTAAGAGGAAAGTTCATAGTACTAAATTCATAAATCAAAAAGATAGATCTCAAATTCGCAACCAAATGATGTACCTAACAAACTAGAAAAACAAGAACGAACCAAACCCAAAACTAGCAGAAGTAAAGAAATAAAGATCAGAGCAGAACTAAATACAATTGAGACTAAAATATCACACAAGGGATCAACAAAGCCAAAAGTTGGTTGTTTAAGAAGATAAACAAAAATTGATAGACTACTAACTAGATTAAACAAGAAAAAAAGAGGACTCAAATAAGCACAATCAGAAATGATAAAGATAACATTAAAATTGATACCACAGAAATACGAAACATCATCAGAAACTACTATGAACATCTCTATGCATACAAACTAGAAAACTTAGAGGAAACAAATAAATTTCCAGAAACATACAACCTCCCAGATTGAACCAGGGGGAAATTAAAATCCTGAACAGACCAATAACAACAAATTATAAAATTGAATCAGTAATAAAAGATCTACCAACCAAAACAAACAAACAACAACAAAAAAAAACCCAGGACCAGGGGAATTCACAGCCAAATTGCACCATATATACAAAGAAGAGCTGGTATCAATATTACTAATATATATATATATATATATATTTTTTTTTTTTTTTTGAGACGGAGTCTCGCTGTGTCTCCCAGGCTGGAGTGCAGTGGCACGATCTCGGCTCACTGCAAGCTCCACCTCCCGGGTTCACGCCATTCTCCTGCCTCAGCTTCCTGAGTAGCTGGGACTATAAGTGCCTGCCGCCACGCCTGGCTAATTTTTTGTATATTTAGTAGAGACGGGGTTTCACCATGTTAGCTAGGATGGTCTCGATCTCCTGACCTCGTGATCTGCCCGCCTTGGCCTCCCAAAGTGCTGGGATTACAGGCGCTCTGAGCCACTGTGCCCGGCCTAAAAATACATATTTTTTAAATTGAGGAGGAGGAATTCCTCCTAAACTCATTCTATGAAACTAGTATCATGCTAATAACAAGATCCAGCAAGGATAACACAAAAACAGAAAACTATGGGCCAATATCCCTGATGAACGTAGATGCAAAAGTCCTCAACAAAATACTAGCAAACTGAATCCAACAGCACATCAAAAAGATAATTCATCACGATCAAGTGGGTTTTATTCTGGGAACACAAGGATGGTTCAACATATGCAAATCAATAAATGTGATTCACCACATAAACAGAATTAAAAACAAAAATCACATGATCATCTCAATATGCAGAAAAAACATGCAATAAAATCCAACATCTCTTCATGATAAAAATTATAAATAAACTAGGCATTAAAGGAACATAACTGAAAATACTAAGAACCATATTTGACAAAGCCACAGCCAACATCATACTTACAGGGAAAAATTGAAAGCATTTCCTTTAAGAACTGGACCAAGACAAGGATGTGCACTTTCACCACTCCTATTCAACATAGTAATGGAAGTTCTAGCCAGAGCAATCAGGCAGGAGAAAGAAATTAAAGGCATCCAAATCGGAAAAGTGGAAGTCAAATTATCTCTATTCACTGAGGACATAATCTTACATTTAAAAAACCCAAATGATTCCTCCAAAAGACTCCTGGACCTAATCAATAACTTTGCTAAAGTCTCAGGATACAAAATTAACACACCATAATCAGTTGCATTTCTATACACCAACAATGGTCAAGCAGAAAACCAAATAAAAAACTCAATCTCATTTACAATAGCCATAAAAAAACATAGACTATCTAGGAATACATTTAAGATGGTGAAAATCCCATTTACAATAGCCATACAAAAACATAAACTATCTAGGAATACATTTAAGATGGTGAAATACAAAGGAGAATTATAAAACAATGAAACTGTAGATGACACAAACAGATGGAAAAACATCCCTTGCTCATGGGCAGGAAGAATCAATGTCATTAAAATGACTATACTGCCCAAAGCAATCTAGAAAGTCAATGCAACTTCCCATCAAATTACCAATGTTATATTTCACAGAATTAGAAAAAACAATTATAAAATTCATATGGAACCCATAAGAGCCTAAATAGCCAAAGCAATCCTAAGCAAAAAGAATAAACTTGCAAGCATTACATAACCTGACTTCAAACTACACTACAAGTCTAATGTAACCAAAACAGCATGCTACTGGTACAAAAATAGACACATAGATCAATGGAGCAGAATAGAGAACCCAGAAATAAAGCCACACACCTGATCTTCAACAAAGTCAACAAAAATAAACAATGGGGAAAGGATACCCTACTCAATAAATACTGCTGGGAAAGCTGGCTATCTATATACAGAAGAATAAAACTGGACCCCTATTTCTTTTTTTTTATCTGCTTTATATAATTTTATTTTTATCTACATTGTTATATCAATGCATCTTTATTATTATTTTTTATTATTATTATACTTTAAGTTTTAGGGTACATGTGCACAATGTGCAGGTTAGTTACATATGTATACATGTGCCATGCTGGTGCACTGTACCCACTAACTCGTCATCTAGCATTAGGTATATCTCCCAATGCTATCCCTCCCCCCTCCCCCCACCCCACAACAGTCCCCAGATTGTGATGTTCCCCTTCCTGTGTCCATGTGTTCTCATTGTTCAATTCCCACCTATGAGTGAGAACATGCGGTGTTTGGTTTTTTGTTCTTACGATAGTTTACTGAGAATGATGATTTCCAATTTCATCCATGTCCCTACAAAGGACATGAACTCATCATTTTTTATGGCTGCATAGTATTCCATGGTGTATATGTGCCACATTTTCTTAATCCAGTCTATCATTGTTGGACATCTGGGTTGGTTCCAAGTCTTTGCTATTGTGAATAATACCGCAATAAACATACGTGTGCATGTGTCTTTATAGCAGCATGATTTATAGTCCTTTGGGTATATACCCAGTAATGGGATGGCTGGTGGACCCCTATTTCTTACCATATACAAAAATTAACTGAAGATAGATTAAAGGCTTCAATGTAAGACCTCAAACTATAAATATTATACTAGAAGAAAATCTAGGGGAAACTCTTCTGGACACTGGCCTAGGCAAAGAATTTATGACGAAGACCTCAACAACAAATGCAACAAAACCAAAAGTAGACAAATGGGACTTAATTAAACTAAAGAGTTTTTCTGCACAGGACAAGAAATAACACAGCAAATAGACAATATACAGAATGAGAGAAAATATTTGCAAACTATGCATCTGACAGAAGGACTAATATCCAGAATCTGTAAAGAAGTTAAACAAATCAAAAAGAAAAAAAACCACAAAAATTCCATTAAAAAGTAGACAAACGGATATGAACAGACACTTCTCAAAATAAGACATACAAGTGACCAACAAACATATGGAAAATGCTCAACATCACTAATCATCAGAGAAATGCAAATTAAAACCACAGTGAGATGCCATCTCATACCAGTCAGAATAGCTATTATGAAAAAAGCCAATAGATAACAGATGTTGGAGAGGATGTGGAGAAAAGGAAATGTATATACACTGTTGGTGGAAATGTAAATTAGTTAAACACTTTTGGAAAACATTATGGGCATTTCTCAAATAACTAAAAGTAGAACTACCCTTTGATCCAGCAACCCCACCACTATGTATATACATAAAGGAAAATAAATCATTTTATCAAAAAGATACCTGTACTTATATGTTTATTGAGCACTATTCACAATAGCAAAGTCATGGAATTGACCTAAGTGTCCATCAAAAGTTGACTGGAATAAAAAAAATGTGGTATGTATACACTGTGGAATACTACACGGCCATAAAAAGTAATGAAATTGTGTCCTTTGCAACAACATGGATAGAGCTGGAGGCCATGATCTTAAGTGAAACAACTCAGAAACAAAAAAACAAATATCGCATGTTCTCACATATAAGTGAAGTACACATGGACATAAAGATGGAAATAATAGATATTGGGGACTCCAAAAGGTGGGGGCTGGGGGAAAGCACATGTTGAAAAGTTACTTACTTGGTACAGTGTTCACTATTTGGGTAATGGGTTCACTAGAAACCCAAAACTCACAATTATGCAATATACCCACGTTAACAAACCTGCACATATATCCCTTGAATTTAACAGAAAAGGGGAAAAAGATGACAGCAGTGTTGTGTGTGCTGCAGGGAGCATAAAGAAAATTACAGGCTATAGCTACATCATACAGATTCAGCAAGTTTGCAAATTATTCACATGACATCCAGAATACCCGACAGATATAATGGTGAAAAAAGTCTGCAACATTTAAGACATTCTATAATGCATGGTATACTTTAACTCAGAGGCAATAAAGAACAAAGGAATGGGTAGAAAATGAATAATCACATGTGTAAATTCTCAAATAATTAGGATAAAGCATGTGAATTAAAAAACAGAAATAATGACTTGAAAGTGTCTTTTTTCTCTTTATGGAAAAAGAAAGTTATGTTTCTCTGGTTTTTGATAAGAATAAACCTCATACGGTGAAATCAATTTTTAAAAGGAGTAATGCAGAATAAAAATCCATAAAACTACCAAAAAAAGTCACATAATTGTATATTTAAAAAAACCAAAACCAAAAACAAAACATTGATCCCAGAGCAATGGCATAAGAAGATATCCTTCTGTGGAATTCCATAACATTGCTAGTTAGTAAGTAGACAGGAAGTAATTTCCCTAATAAAATGTACATATCATTTAGATTTATTAATTAAAACTACTGAAGAACTTGTATTTGAGCTATTCTAATGCAAGCATTCATGCCAAGGTGTCATTCCATTCTTGCATTTACACATGGGATCAAATAAATGAAATTCCCCAATCCCCATCTGCGTCTCAAAAAAGTCACTGACTGCTGGAAAACAACAGATATTCTCTCCTGGAAATGAATCAGAAGGCAAACCATCATTCGGTAGCCAGCATATGATTCAGCAGAGCTTTGTATAAAAGTATAAAGTTCAAAAGCAACCCCCAAAAAGCTCGGGAAGTAGTGGACTGTTTTTACCCCTCCTGGGATCACCACTGACAGCATCCATGAAGTTCTGACAGAAGAACACACCAGGATGACAAAGTAGTGACTTTTAAAGAGCAGCCAACAACAAGCATATAGGGAATCTCTCAGCAAATACAGGTAGGAGAAATTCAAACGTGTGACAATAGGTTTATGTAACCAATAATGTGACTAGATGAAAAACAGGGCAAAAATACTGGCTGTGACTATTTAAATAATTTCTCTGAAGAGATAAAATGTATTTAAAGAAAATGATACTTCCTTCTGTGTCTCATAAGATTGCTAAGTTTTTATCTTCTTGTCTTCACTAAGCAAAGGTTAAATAAAAAGTAAATCATTTATAAACTCAATACTTTTTTTTTTCTGGATTTGAAGAGAAGCTTGAGTAGGAGATTTAAACAGAAGGAGGAAAGCATCCATGTAGATGCACAGGACTAACAAGAAAGCTATTGTTTGAAATGCCATGTATCTTCATCGAGGTAGCACACTAAACTACTCCCAGATCTACACTCACTTGTAATACTAAACATCTCCCAACAATGACAGATAACCAGTATTGTCAATGTAGATTTATTTGTAATAAAAACTGTAGTAATTTGAACTCATTATATTAATAGCTATTGAAACTAGAAAGTTCTTGTAGTTCAGAGAAATTGACTTTTTGAGAGCTGAAGCTGCCAATATGTGATGCTTTTTCTTTTTAAGAAGTGGAAATGTCAAATGATCAGAGGAAAAAACTGGAAAGGGAAGTACTGAAAGATTTAATTGGAAAATATGCTGTTCATTTTTCTGGATGTTCCTGTAACACGTTTGAGACATTTTATTTCTGTACTTCAATGATATTATTACTAGCCTAAAAGACGTACAATACAAGGGATGAGAGGCTTTCAGAAGGATCCTGAATAGGTGAGTCAGGTCAGCTGGGTGGTCTTATTATCAGTTTTTGATTTCCCCGTTAGAGTCTGTTTGAAGTGAAGTGCCTTTCATCTTTCCACCCACTCTCACCATTTCAACATTCTAATTTAGTTCAACTGTTTTTATTCTGTTTTGTTAAAAAATGAGCCCAAATTTGGGGAAGGCAGGGAGACACCCTCTCTTGTGGTTTCATGTAATTTTTTGTTATGGTCTACTGGAAAAGAACAACTTTAAAAAATGCAATTTCACATACACTTGATCCCCCATTGGACTCAAATCTCTTCAACAATTCATGTTAATATTTTTCTAATTTAAAAAACTATTTAGTTTTAAGACTTCACTGATTTTTGGCAGGCAGCTTTTTCAACATAGTTTCAACTCTTTGAACCTGTCCCCATAGCTCTTTTCCCACTGCCTGAGCTTCCAAGATAGCAGTGGCCAAAGACTGTAATAAGGTGGAAGTCCATACAGTTACTTGTCTAGGGTTCCACTAACCAAGTTACGTTGACAACTGACTGGTGCCACACAATCTGACATTTTTACAGAAACTCAGAGCACTGTAATTAACTCAAGAGATATGGGGGGGAATCCTCATTTTTAAACCAAATTAATAATGAAAACATGAGGTAGAGGGAAAAGGGGCAAATATCTGGGATACACATATTACCAAAGGTTAGTTTTGCTTTGTTTTCCATATTCTCATACCCAAATAATCCATGTAATTGCAGCCCAAGACCTGGTCTCCTCCCCTCCATGTCTATTTGGTGGAAGGGAGGCAGTGCTATGAAGTGAACGCACTTAGGCAAAGAGAAAAAAATATCCAAATAAACAAGCTATGATGAGGAAAATGCAGCAGGCCTTCTTGCCAGGGAGTGAGTGGCTGGTCAATGCACCAGGGGCTACTTACACAAGCTGGGCTCCTGAGGAGAACAAAAGGGGTTGTGGCAAGAGTTGTGATGTAATGGGGCCGTGGGGTGGCCTGGGGAGAGGACGTGAAGCACAAAATTATTGCTATCTGATCTCTACTTTCTTCATATCCATAGATATCTTGGATATTACTCTTAAGTGTACTTCTTATTCAAGATATGCTGAAATTTAAAAGCAAATATTATGAAAGTACAATAAGAATATCTGCAGTGTCATTCCATCTGACTTCTCTCCCCTATCTCTACATGACCAAAGTCATCTTTCAAGGAAACTCTAAATTACCATTGCCTCCACGAAGACTTCCTTATGCTTTCTTTCATATATCTGCAATTAGCACATGTAATCGGTCTCCTCTTCCCTTACTTTGCCCATGTCTTCCTTAAGACGCATTCCTTTTTACTTTGCACTATACACAGCATAGTAATCCCTTATGAGGCAGACTATAATAAGCTAAGTGAAAGCAAAGATAATGGAACACATTTTTTTCAACCTCAAAGTGCCTACATAGTATTAAACCAGCAAACTAACTAATAAACGAAACACAACTAGTTGAATGAGATCTACAACCTAAAAAAAATTTTTTTTAACTCCAAAAACAAAGTTCATTAGTTTTGCCGGAAAATTAGAGAAATGGGTTGCAGAGGAGGAAAAAACTACAGAAAGTGAAGAGCAAACACAAGAAAACAGGGACAAATGGCAAATATTTTACTTATTCCTCCCCAAAATAAAAGATGATGGGGAACAGGAGACTGAAGATATGCTTTCAAAGAAAATATGTATTATTGACCTTTACATAACTTCAAGATTTTTAAGTGATGGCATGATTAGGAAAGTATATTTGTGACTATCATAATGTTTTATTACAGGAGATAAAAGCTACTCTTGAACTTGATTCAAGTCAATGTAATTTTTTTCTAGCCCATTCCCAACCCTAAAGCCTTTAGGTAACTGAATACATTTGTCTCTTGTAAATTCTCCCATTGTTTTTTTGTATAAACACTACCTCCACTTCCATTTATATAAAAGATAGCATAAAATGTATAAGCTCTGTATCTGCTCTTTAAAAAACATATACCCTGGAAATGTTTCCATTTCAGTACACACACAACTTCCTCCCTCTTTTTTTTTTTTTTTTTTTTAAGGAGAAGTACATTATTTCTTTGTGTAGATGCAGTGTTGTTTATTCACCCAGTGCCCTTTAGATGGATACCAGCCTTGCTTCTAATCTTTTGCTTTTACAACCTATGTTGTAATGGAGTAACCTCACTCATATGTAATTTCATTGACCTGCAGAATACTGATAGGTAAATACACATGTGATTTTGGATGGATTCAAAGTCATTTTAAATTGTTTAGATTGTTTGCTTTAGTCAAACTTCTTAAACTGGATTCAGTACGTATTACATGATATTCTTAAAATACGATTTTAGGCCATGTTAATTCACAATGGTCCTCTAGAGCACCCAGAAAGTGGCCACTGAATTCCAAAAGAGATGTTTGTGTTGGCGAGTGACAAAAACCAAAAAATAAAAACCACTACTATAAAGTGCTAAATGAATTGGTCATTAATAATAAGAAAGATTATTATTTTTCTCAGATTATCCCAGATATCTGGAGCAGTCTGGAGACATTAGGAAACTATATAACATGTAACCATCACGACAGTTGTCTAACAATGCTTATAAGCACTAAACCCATGCAAACTACTTGTAACCTTAACTAATCCAAATGTAGAAATACTTCAAGGCCATATCATACTCAACCACATACTTTGCCATTGAAAGTAATGGCAAAAACCGCAATTACTTTTGCACCAGCCTAATATTAAAGTCTGTATACTCCCTGTCAAACCAAAGTTCTATTCTGTTATACCAGCCTCATTTCAAACCAGCACAGGGAGTAAAAGTTAAACAGAAAGAACAATGTGGTTGTATATGGTTATTTATGGTTTGTTTTTTAAACTCCTAAATGATGTTTTTTATTTTTATCTTATGAAGAAAAATGATATTAAAACAATTCATTATTTTTGCTTACCTACAAGGCATCATAGGCAAGTCAAAGAAAGTAACAAGATGCCTCTGCTAAGAGTTATTAATCCTGAGGCGTAAACAAATCAAACGGTGCTTTGTTTTTAGTTTGATGAGTGAAATAAAATAGAATGAATGAGAAATTATTTAATTCCATCATCAAAACCATCCAAATATTTCTCAGGGAGAACCTCTCCCTTTCATAATTAAATTAATCTGTAAGTTTACCAAATAAACACCATGAACTGTGTACTTTCAAACTGTTTTAAACACCACCTCACTGTTCTAGCATTTTTTAAAAAAGCAAATACAAAGTTTTGTGTATTTTTTTTTCATCAGCATTTGTTGGAAGACTTAAATTAAGGTTAACATAAAAATCACAGAGCAGGAACATTATCACCTGTAGCAAGGAGTATAATGTGTTTGGGTGAATCTGTTGTCAGGGGCCAGGTAAGAAAACAAGTAATAACAATGTCTCCTTCTGAGGGGAAACTGGGTGACCATGGACGGTGTTAGGATACAGGAACAGAAAGAAATCCCGGCCTCAGTGACAACATCTTTTAAGCTAGACGAAACCTACTCCAGCTATGTTGATGTTTTGTTAAAATATTGAATATATTTATCAACTATTTTTAAATTTCACACATTTTAATTAAGTGTTTACACTACAATTAAATAGCCAAAAGTAAAATCAATAGACTCTTATTGCTATTCTGAGGGGGAAAAAGTACACTACAAATCAATGCTGATTTGAGAGCCATGTTTTAACATCTCTTTGGTCAATCACTTCAATTAGCCCATCACCAGACTCTGTCTCAAAAAAAAAAAAAAAAAAGAAATCTTCCCTTTAGGCATGTATTGTACATTCTATTTTCAAAGATGAACCATGCATTTTCCAAATGCAATACATACAGCTTTACACTGCAATGGTACTTGAAAAATCTTTTGGCACGTAGTAAGATTTACTTTTCCTTTTGATGCTTATTTTGCCAAATTGCATTTCTGTACATGTATCTTCAATAAAATCCACAGAGAAGGTAAGGAAACAATACTCAGTTTATCAAAACTTAGTCCCACAAGACTATTCATATCATTGCATAAAACATAAAAATGAATATGACTAAACCAGTAAGAAAGTTACTAGACTGAACTCCAACTGTCTGTTGCCAGTGAAACTGCCAATATTTGACTGTTTTTGACAACAATAGCAATTTTATATGCAACTTTTCTATTTCTGAAGCCTAACTAGGTACCTAATAGAGGTAACTATATTCCTGAAGCCTAACTAAGTACCTAACAGAGGTACTTATGACCAATCCTCGACTCAAGGAGACTTAAAAATTAGAAAATGTTTATAACTAAAAATTAAATGAATAAATGGCATATTATCTTCTATTATTTTGAACTCCAGTGGAATAGAGACTCTATAAAACACTATGCTTAAAGATAACTGAATGTATCATCTGACAACAGATATTAGATCTAAAATCGAGCTAAATTCACCCTCAAGATGTTTGTGAAAAACTTTTAGAGCTGATGTTTATGGGCAGTCTGTGTAAGAACATGATGTGAAAATACTCTGATCTTTTATGTGTCTTATATAACATATCTTATAAATAGAGCTAAAATCAGACAAGGTTATAAGTTTTATGATTTAAAAAAATTCTTAATTCTAATAACCCTACTCAAAAATTATGTTGTATATTTGTAGTATGTGTGAATATGTATGTATATACATATATTTGTGTATATATTTTTATATTAATATATCAGGGATTTTATTAAATGTTATATATTAGCCTACCTCAAGTGATTAAGATTTTACTTCTTTTCAAAAAACAATGTAGTTCAGCCATTTAGTGGTAAAGTATAAAGCAATCATTCCTCTGTATTTTATTATACTATAAAAATAAGACAGCAGTATGGAGGAGGATTATAGGTTATTTAAATTTACTTTTCCTTTTCTCTGGCGACATCATAGAGCACAATCAAGAACTCAGAGGCAATATAACTATAGAAAATAAATAACTGGATTTAGCAATTTGGAGTTTCTGGTTGACCTTATCAAGAAAAATGGAATGGTGCCAAGAACTATATTAGAGTTGTAAAAGGAAACCTAAGTATGGAACATTCTAACCAAGAAGTATGGCTGTAAAAAGATGGAGGAAAAAAGAAGAGAAGATACAGTAGGGCTGAAGAAGGGTTCTCTTTTTGTTTTATAGCATTCAAAGTCTTCATTATGTTAAGGGGTTAAATAAAGACCTGGTAAAGAAAGCACAGAGGATGAAAGTCCCATGTGAGATAGAGGGGAATAAATCCAGTACACAGGAGTCAGACTGCCCTGGAGACCCCATCGTGCCTCATTCTCTGGCACGGTGGGGTAGATAATCACCATAATAGATGAGTTTAAAGCTAGAGGACACAGGAGTTCAAAAGTTGTTTTCTAATTTTTTTTTCTTATTTTTGAAACAAGAGGCAAGGGAATCTACCTCACGGTGAAAAGCAGAGGCCAGAAAGAAAGGAATGGGAGTTAAATGGTACGATAAGTTGAAGAATCAACTGTTGTGTGCACCTTTAAGGTGTTAAAACCTTAATCATTATTAAATGAAAAAAATTAAATGCACAGCTCCTGTATTTTCTAATCATATATTCTCATTTCAAATTCTAAATCTTCAAACTAGTTTAAGAAGTCAACCATACTGAAAGTATAATGAAAACGAAGGCACTGCATCCTGTGAAAATAGATTGTGACATACAAATCTCACTCCACCTCCTCCAAAATTTCCATTTCACCTTCTGCTTTGTAAGGAAGAATGTAGTGAAATCAACCAGGTTACTATAATCCTGCATCTTAGTCAATTAGCTTAGTCATTAGCTTAGTAAAATAAGTGTTTTCAATAAAGTTGGCATCAATACTCCCCAAATAACATGTTCTTATAAAACTTCAGAAGCCAAAATAAATGCATCAGTGTTTCAGAACAAAAGAATATTTGATGAGACAAAACTATCAGTTTATTAATATCTCAATAAACCAAGAAAAGAGTACAGTGAAGTATTTTGTTGTTGCTGCTTTTTTAAAAAAAGTTTATTTGCTGTGGTAGACTAAGCTGGTATTTATTATAGAAAAGCTAAAATGAACATACTTAATTCCCATTATAAGTGGGAAAGAGAAATATAAAATTATGGTTTCTAACATATTATCTATAAATGTAACCCTAAATCCAATATCACATTTGCCATTATTTGCATGTACTGCATTCTCGAGATAACTCTGTGAATTTTAAAAGCATACCAACAGGCCACATATATACATTACTTAATAGTCTTATATTAACGAATTTAAACAAGGAGCAGCATGTAAGTGCTCAATGTATTTCAAGTAAATAAATAAATGGATAGATAAAATTTTACTCTATAAATGCCCTTTAACTATACAATCACTTAGAGGGTATAAACCAAAAACAATATGAGTTGAAAACATAAAGAATCTTTCTTCCTGTACAATTTTGAGAAAAAATTAGTTAAGAAAAATATGTGGAGTAAAAATGCACTTGCATGTATGAATGTTATCAAAGATGGCTGATATGCTCATCACAGGCCCACATATTCTGATCTCAGAGTCTTTAAAATGTGGGGGTTTGGAAGATGGGATTTTATAAGTGATGGTGCAGGCACTGAAGTTGGCAGGAATATGGGCTAGATAGCTGCCCGGAAGCAAAAAGAAGGCTGAGCAGATGATACAAATTGCAATTAGGAGCTGCAAATTCTAATCCCTGAGCAAATTCACAAAAAAATAAAAACTCAGAGATGTCAAGATTTCTATCAATGAGATAACATTTTAAATGCCACAAAGAGTTGTTAATGTCATCTTATTCACTCACCTGTCAAAAAATCATAAAATATACAATCTGCCATGTTTTACTTATAAAATTTAAATGTCAATCATAGTACCTAAAATCAACCTATGTAATGGTTAAATATGAACAATGTATTTATTACACAAAATTTGATGTGACATTCTCAAATTCACATTTGATATTCACTAGATATATAAGACTCCAAGGTTCTCCAGCTTCCTTACCTTCAGATATTTTATTAGATTACGACCTTATATGACAGACAGCAATAATAGCAAACAACATCAAATAAAAACTAGCTTACAAAAATACTGCTAGACTAATGCTCCAATCTCTGAAAGTTAGGTAAAGTACCTAAAACTCACTCTTGTCCAGGGACTTCTATTTCCACTGCCCCATTCTAATTTAAAACCCCATTTTCAAGGCCAGGTGCAGTGACTCACGCCTGTAATCCCAGCGTTTTGGGAGGCCGAGGCAGGTGGATCACTTGAGGTCACACATTCGAGACCAGCCTGGCCAACATGGTAAAACCCTGTCTCTATTAAAAATAGAAAAATTAGTTGGGTGTGGTGGCGGGCACCTGTAGCCCCAGCTACTTGGGAGGTTGAGGCAGGAGAATTGCTTGAACCTGGGAGGTGGAGGTTGCAGTGAGCCAAGACATGCCACTGCATTCCTTCCTGGGTGACAGAGCAAGACTTTGTCTGAAAAAATAATAATTAAAAAGTTAAAATAAAAAAAAAACCATTTTCTTAACTGATCTGTCAGTGGCCATGGGCTCCCTCAGCATGCTCTCCATGTGAAAGCCATAGTAATGTTTTAAAAACATACATCTAATTGGTCACTCTTCTGTAAAAATTCCTTCAAGACTTGGCCTCTCATTGCCCTTGTCAAAGACTCGACTTTTTATCAGGGACTAGAAAACAACATGATCTAACTCCTATTCTCTAAACTTCAACACTTATGGCCCACAAGCCTTCTCTCAGCTCCTCAACAGTACTTTGGGGGGCAGATGTCAAAGGGAGACATCATAGGGAATAAAGGTACACCAATGTAGCAACACTTTCAACCTTACCTACCTGTGAGTGGGGGAACACTATGCTTTAGATAAAAAGCCGTTAAGTCCTAATGCTGGTTTGTTGTGCAAATCAAATTCCTTATCTCAATTTCCTCACCTCTAAAGAAGGGAGACTCATTAAAAAGATTTCTATTTGAATCTTCAAGCTGTCTGATTTCATAACTCTTTCACCACTTATTTTATGTGGAGATCCCAGATTCAAAAGTTCTACCCCAATCTCTAAACTGATTTGGTGCATCAACACTAAGTTCAAATATTGCCTTTTTAATTCAGTGTCTCCACCAGGCATTTGGGCTTTTTTGGAAAAACAATTTCTCCAATAAAGTCTAGATACCCTTTCGACAGTCATCCTTTGGTTCACCTTTGTTAAAAGCATTATGTACTTCACTATTCAAATACCATTCTGTTTTGAAAGCTCTGTCTCAGACTCAAGTTACTTATCCTACTAAAGTAGCCTTTGAATAGGTTAGTGTTCTCTTAGTACTGGCAGGGAAATAATTTAGAAAATCATAATCCTAAAAATGCAGAGCCAGTTTGGTAAAGACACACTGTCTATTTGATTTCCTGTCATACGTACTGGAAGAATAAGTTAGTATACAGAAATAGCTTATAATATTCTGAAATTTTGCAGTGATGAAAACATATACTTAAGCTATTATTTTAAAAATTCTTAATTTAAAATTCTGGAAGTCACCTAGTAACTTAAATTGTGTCAAACAGCTAATAATATCATCCACACCTTCAAATTCTGTACCAAATGTATAATTACTCCAAAATGTCCTGCCAGGCAAAATATATTCTGAGAACTTTGTTGACTTACTGTCCACTTGAATTTATCCATGAATTATGCACCTGTCTTATTGTAAAGAAAGAAAATTTAAAAAACACATGGAATGGGCTAAAAATCCAAACATCAAGGAAAGTCTACAAAGAATTGTCAATTCTCATCACTTAAATGTTTAGTATATTTCTAGAGATTAAAAACAAAAGACTGGCTTCTTGGAATAAGCTGTAACTTATAAATTGGTATCATGTAATACATGTATTTTAAAAACGTTTCTTTGGCTAGACCCTTATTTTCCCTGTTATGCTTTACTTTTGACTTATAGAAATGACTTACCTGTAACCCACTCAAAATATGGGTTTAAAAAGTCAGTACACTCACATATATCTGAATAATAAACAGTATTTTGCTCAATTACTTATCTCTCATAGAGAAAGACAAAAAATTTCTCAAAAAACCATTTTAATTATTAATGACGTTGTTATATAAACCATCCAACTTTAGTCATTTCTTAACCAAAAAAAACCTGATGTTCTAAAAAAATACATATAATAAACTGTTATCATAGTAATACTTCTATTAATTAACATGTTCACATTCTGAGTACAATGAAAATCAACATCCACAGTGACGATCCTAAGGCACTGCAAGATTGGGTAGTACCAGCAAAGGAATATAAATTAACTGTAATTTTAGGATCACAGTTGTCTATCACTGTATTCAAATGTTCCAAAAAGTAGACAATCTTTGGATGGCATGTATGGTAAATTGCAATGAAAACAAATGCTACAATATTTTCTATTTTGCTTTTTGTCTTTTTGTAAGGATTTTTAAAAATATGATGTGTTTTGGAATAGATAATGCTTGGTACAACATTCAAAATGTAAAGGCTGGCATACAATGAAAAATAATTCTCCCTCCCACCCCTGTCCCCAACTTACTCAATTTGCCTCTCAAGATGCAAGCACTATTACTAGTTTGTCTATCCTTATACAAGGAATATGAGATATTCTGTGTTACATACATATCAATTATGTATCTTACACAAATGCTGTATACCATCTACTCTATTCTATACACTTCTTTTTCTACTAAATATATTCTGGATGTCTTTTCATAGTCCACAACAAGGTGCCTCCAACCCCCCCCACCTTTTTTTTTTTTGAGACAGAGTCTCGCTCTGTCGCCAGGCTGGAGTGCAGTGGCGCGATCTCAGCTCCCTGCAACCTCCGCCTCCCAGGTTCAAGCGATTCCCATGCCTGCCTCCACCTTTTTAATGACTGCTAATGTAGCTAGTTCTTATGAATGAATATTTGAGCAGTTCCTTCTTCTGCTATTACAAACAATGGTATAATCAATAACCCTGTATATACATCATTTGCACACATGCAACCGTATCTGTAATATAAATTCTTAGAGATATAATTCTTGGGTGAATGTGCATTTAACATTTTTAAAGTTTATATAAAGTCTTGTAACAGTTTCTATTTGCAATTTCTCATTACAAATAAAACTAAATCTTTGCATAGGTTTAAGGCCATTTATAATTCTTTATCCATTATTCAACTGGGTTATTGTTTTGCTTTAAATACTTTTTAAAATGAACTTTTTATAACTTCTTATATATTAGGACTATAGCTCCATTACATGAGTTGGAAATTTTTCTCCCAGTTTGTCATTTATCTTTTTATTTTTTTTTTCTTTTTTGAGATGTAGTCTCGCTCTGTTGCCCAGGTTGGAGTGCAATGGCAGGATCTCAGTTCACTGCAACCTCTGCCTCCCGGGTTCAAGCAATTTCCCTGCCTCAGACTCCCAGGTAGCTGGGATTACAGGTAGATGCCACCACGCCCAGCTACTTTTTGTATTTTTAGTAGAGTCGGGATTTCACCATGTTGGCCAGGCTGATCTCAAACACCTGACCTCAAGGTGATCTGCCCACCGTGGCCTCCCAAAGTGCTAGGATTACAGGTGTGAGCCACCATGCCTGGTCCCAGTTTGTCATTTATCTTTAACTTTACTTGTATTTTTCTTTATATGCAGTTTTTTTTTAATATTGTCAGATTCATACATCTTTTCTTTTATAGTTCTGGGTTTGAGGTCGTACTTCAAAGGCTTTCTGACTACATGATTAAAAATATATATATATATTTTATATTATTTTATACATATATAAAATATTCCCCTACCTTTTCTACTGGTAGTTTTATAATTTATTTTTTAATCCATAGACCTTTGATCTCTGTGGAATTTATTTAGGTATTAGGTGTGAGGTAGGGCACAACTGTATTTTTTCAGATGGCTATCCATAGGCCAAACACCACTTATTGAATAATCTGTCTTCCACTGATCTGAAATGCTATCTTTTTCATACATTAAATTTCCCAGTCTTTTTGGGTCTATTTCTGAACTTTCTATTCAGTTTGAATACCATGACACTTAAACAATGTAGATCAAAAAGATTTATAGCATACTTAAGTTTAAGAAACATAAGTTATAACATAACTATAGGAAACTGTAAGATACAGATAAAGTAAGTATTTTCCCTAGATTTATTCCTATTTAATTCATTTAACAATAATTTATTTAACCTTCTCTTCCCCCTGGCACATACTTTCTTTTGTTAAGGCGAAAGTTCCAAGTGGCCAGCTAAGAATTTCTCTGGCTTTAATCCAAAGGGATTTCTTTCCCCCATTTTGAGTAAAGCAACTCCAGTTATTTACTTATTGTCATGGAGCTTCTGAGAAATTCCTTCTTACCCCTTTTATCTGAAGTTGGGAGGTCAGAGTATGATAAAGTCTATTTAGCAAGCTGTCTAAAAATCACAGGTTGACGCCACCTACTCAAAAAGTACATAGCCACCTTTGTTCTGAAGCCTAGATAACTTTTGATTTGCTTGATTCCCTTTTAACCACACAATGGACTTAAATCTCAGGTTATCTATATTCCTTTATCATATCCCCAGGGACTCTTCCTGCCTCAAACTGCCCACCACACCCACCACACAAAGCATGAAAGTTTTTTTTCATTAGTATTAACTGTAACCATAATCAACAAGTCAGGCTGTGGGACACATGGCTGGTAACCGTGCATATGTTAACTGTGATAGGAAAACGAGGAGGACATCCTTTTACTTCTGTGGTGCTTTCCAGAAGTAAGTAAGGAAAGATTTCTGCCTGGCACAGTGCTCTGTACAAACACTAGACTGCATACCAAATTGAAAGAGTTACCAAAGACAAAACAGGTGTTTGCTGCTCTCAAATACCATCACATAAATGTTAAAACAAGTTCAGAAAGTATCAAAAATTTGGTTTCATTAGTTCACAATTTTGAGCTATATTACTGCTAAAAATAAAATAGTAAATTAAAAACTAAATAAAAAATGAATTGGTAAGTATCTGGAAATGAAAAATAAATTCAAAAAATGAAACAAACTATTTTTTATTTTATAGGATGGAAGATACAAATTTGATTTTCAGATCACTGGGGATACTTTAAAGAAAACTCTAAAATGTTAAGAGTAGATTATGTAACATTAGTAAAAAAACAAATATTAGGTAAGAGGTGAAGGGAAAACAATCTCAAGAATAATCCATAAGATGACAATAGCAGGACAGGAGTTCTAATGAAATAATACAGGACCCACTTTAATCTCTTAAATAAGTATGAAACTTGTAGATATATCCTGAAGCAAGGATGTGGCCAATCTTCTTACTAAGAGATAATAAAGAACAGAAAAAGTTTTGCATTTTGAAAATCAGCATTTCTTCTTACCATCAATTTAATGTTGATTTTTTTTTAGCATTTCATAGAGTTACTGAACTCAGATCTTATGCTCTGACAAAACGTATGATAAGGGAAACACTGTTGCCCATTCTTTTTATCATATCACACCTTTCTAAACAAATTCTTTTGGGGACATTTAATAGTTAGCTGTTATCAGTTGTCCTCTGTTGAGGACAACTGTCCAACTTCTCACTGCAGAGTGAGGAGGAGAGTTTAAAGAAGCTTTCAATCTATTATAATGCTTCAAGACAGAAACCAGAAGTTCTTATGTCCTATAACTTTGCTGATATATTAGATTTAAAAGGCATTCCATTTCTCATGTATCAATCTGATGTACGAATCAAATCTATAATTGGTACATAATACATTCTCTAATTGAACCCTTTTCCCTCAGATCACTTCTTCACTGCTGGCAACTAGCACATTTTAGAACAAATCCAGTAACTTTCAACGCCATCAGCCTAAGATCCCCTGTTTGAAAACGTCTGTTTTTGAACTATGTGCCAAACAGAGCTCTCATTCTCCTATCATGCATATTTGTGGCTGGGATGTGGTGAACTAACTCACAGTTGTCAGGGACAAATACCATTGGCTCACCACTCCTGGTTTACTTCCTGCTATCCCACCCACTCCCCTTAGGGAACATGTTACTGGTGTGAAGTCTAACAAACAGTTGTCCCAAAGTCTGGTGTGGATTACAAATAAAATCTAAGAGTCCGTTTACTAACTCATTAAAAATCAAGGTTAATTTAAATACACCCAAATATTTGAATTCTAAACTTAGAGTCATATATTTAAAGTAATATAGAAAACCAGGAGAAACTCATGAAAGTTGGTGTTCTCCTTTTACACTTTTTTTTTTTTTTGAGACGGAGTCTCGCTCTGTCATCAGGCTGGAGTGCAGTGGCACAACATCAGCTCACTGCAACCTCTGCCTCCTGGGTTCAAGAGATTCCCCTGCCTCAGTCTCCCAAGTAGCTGGGACTACAGGCGTGCACCATCACGCCCAGCTAATTTTTTGTATTTTAGTAGAGACAGGGTTTCACCATGTTGGCCAGGATGGTCTTGATCTCCTGACTTCATGATCCGCCCGCCTCGGCCTCCCAAAGTGCTGGGATACAGGCGTGAGCCACTGTGCCTGGCCTCCTTTTACACTTTAATGTTGTAAGAAGAATATGTTTGTTTTCATACTGTCTGTTATAAAAAGGATTCCAATTACATAAATCCCCAGAATATCCAAATATCTGACTGCAGAATACCCGACACCACCAATACATGAACTCTGAATATCCTCATTATAAAAATATAAAAATGATTGTATTTATTTGGCAATGTGTGTGAAAAATCATAATGATAAAGCTCCTAATCTTTCTAAGTTTTTTCTCAAGTTATAAAAAGGTTTAAGACATTCTACTCACATCAGTTCTTTATTATAAAGCATTACAAATATTTTGGTAATTGTTACAGATTAAAATCTAACAGAGAAAACACAACACAACCAAACACTACTACAAACTTGACAATGTTGCAATAAATGACAGTCCTAATTTTTCTTGATTTGATTATAATAAAATGAATTACTATAGCTAATTTTGTTGACTGAATAACTTACTTCCTAGGCTTATCCATAAAACAATCACTTATCTTTAAAATTATATATCAAACACCCAAAATGCAAAACAAAAAAGTAATGCAACAAAATATTAAATTAACAGCAATAAAAAATGGCACACTCTCATTCCTTAACTATAGCTAACAAGGACAGTGTGACTTGGAAATTTTCATAGGATTAAAAAAAGTTTTAAGTAGTAGAACAAATTCAACCTGAACAAAAACAATTAAAGAGGTGGGAAAGGCCGGGCACAGTGGCTCAAGCCTGTAATCCCAGCAATTTGGGAGGCCCAGGAGGGCAGATCACAAGGTTAAGAGATCAAGACCATCCTGGCCAACATGGTGAAACACCGTCTCTACTAAAGATACAAAAAAAATTAGCTGGGTATGGTGATGCATGCCTATAATCCCAGCTACTTGAGAGGTTGAGGCAGGAGAATTGCTTGAACCTGGGAGTTGGAGGTTGCAATGAGCCAAAATCGCGCCACTGCACTCCAGTCTGGCGACAGAGCAAGACTCTGTCTCAAAAATAAAAACAAAAACAAAAGAGGTGAGAAAATGTAGTACTATCTCTTTTAATATTATCTATGTTTCTAAAAATTCCTTTAGTGTTTATCTATGCCAGAGGCAAATTTATCAGGCATTTTAATATTATTTCTAAATATTATTCAAAATAACAAAATCCGGTCTCCAGGAATTTCCTAGTAAGAGCAAAAGGACAGAACCATAGTCTTCTTCCAAATAAGACACAAACCATAATGTCTATAATTTTATCCATCAAATTTTCCCACCATGAAACACAGAGAATAGTTAATCCAGATTTTTGGATTTTGCTTTGGAATTTGTTTGATTTCCATGTATTCAGACTGACATATATGTGAAGCAACTGGGACAGATGTAATGAAGGCATCAGAACACGAAAATAACTTTTAGAACTGATAAATACAGAACCTTACATCTTCAGTCTGAGCCAGACAGTTCACAAGAAACAAAAAGAAACAAGAAAAGCAGTCCCAAATTCTATTTTTCAAGGTTGGAAGAACACTATTAATATATTTCACTGCTTCCTGCTTATCTCAGCCACTGCCATCGACTGCTTTAAGCTATCATTCTATCAAGATGCCCAGCTCGCTGAAGACATTCCTGACTCTAAGGAAAAAACACAGTTTTTACCACACACTGTAAATTAAGTACCTTATTTTCCTGTATATGTTTATTTTCAGATGCTAACAAATTTCAACCAAATAATCAGAAGTAAGTTTATAAATTCATTTAACATGTTTTAGGAGTGAAACATGAGTTTAAGAGTAGAACTAGCATTGATGATATATAAAATAATTAAATGTAAAAAATGAAACCTGAAAGAGGTGCTTTCAAGTTTATGTGGTTTTTATGTTATTAATTTTTTTTTACAACTTGAAATCTCTACTACATTTTCCTAAGTATATGCCAAATAAATTGAAAAAAAAAGCAAAAATAGAATTTAATCAAATAGTTTATGGTGTTTTGTCTTTTACAATTAAATTACTAAATTTGGTCCCACAACTTCTGAAAAATAAAATGGAACAACTGTGAACTATACTAATATTAGTTTCATATATTAGAAAGAGTATCCATTTAGTTCCTACAAAAAAGTAGTTTTGTAAATATCAAAGGAATAGGATCCTAATATCAATTCCATTTGTTACCATGTACAAATCAGCTATTAAATGAAACTCAGAAGTAACAAATCTTTTTTTTGAGTTTTCATCTAAGTAACTTTGTCAAAATTTTCCTGAAACAGGAATTCCTATATATTTTCTAGACTAGGAACATCTCACATTTACAGTGTGTGTGTGTGTGTGTGTGTGTGTGTGTGTGTGTGTGTGTTTTCTTTTTGGCAGAAAATCTTTTACTGAAATAAGACTCTATGTAAGGATTTTCAGTAATTAAATGCTTATCATAATCCTCAACTGGAAACATTCTCCTGCTGGAAACCAAAACAAAAAAAAAAAACAAAAGAAGAAAATGTGGCACTAGTTATTATCACATAAGAAGCAAAGTAACTTTTTCTTGAATTCAAATGTTGAATATAAACTTCTGTTAATGATTTACACAGAACCTTTGCAAGTAAACCTAGAATCAGAAATTCTATTAAAAGAATGGTCAACTAATTCCATTAGAAAAAGGAAGGTCATCAAAAAAAATTAATGAAACATTCTCTACCATCATTCACAAGGGTGCCACGTTTTTTCTTGAATATACAATGACTTGGAGTCCCACTGGAAAGTTGGGAAAAGAACAATGTAAGTAATTTATTGAATCTCAATGAATTATTTTGAACAATGGAGTCTTTCTTAGATAGAAGTTAACTGCAGATAACACATAAGATGCCCTAGAGAGAGTGAACATGTCACAAACTGGAAGTATCTGCAACACATATAACTAACGAAAATAAATATCAAAAATATGTAAGAATACTAAAAAAACCACCACCACCAAAAAAAAAAAATCTGATAAAAAGTAGGCAAAGGTACAATCAGGTATTTGAGAGAGGAGTAAACACAAATGGCCAATCAACATATAAAAATAATGCTCACCATCATTCGAATCAGTATCATACAAATACAATAAAATGAGACAGCATTTTACAACCACTGGTTGGCAAACCTTGAAGTTTAAATGACACCAAGTGGGTGTACCCTTATACCCTGCTGGTAAAAACATGAAACAATTTAGAAAATAATTTGGAATTAGCCAGTGAAGCAGAAAAATATACATAGTTAATATACCACTCCTAGGTATACTTCCTAGAAAGATTCTTTTGCATGCAGCCAGGAAACATGTACAAGAAGTTTCAGAGCAGTATTATTTTGGATAGCTAAATATCCATCACAGATAAAAAAATTCTGATAAACTCACACCATTGTAAACTACAGAGCAGTGAAAAATGAATAAACAGCCCCACACATCAGTATGGACAAATCTCAAAAACACAATGTTACATCAAAAAAGTAAGTTGCAGAAGCAGATACATACAGTGTAATTCCTTTTAAATATATAATTTAAAAACATGCAAGAAAAACATTATTGTGGATGGGATGTGGAGTGGTATACTTTCTAGAAGGACAGAGGGAATAAGACTCAGCATAATTAACTACATGAGGAAACACAGGGAATGCCATCAGGGAGATGGCATAGGGGTTTCAAAAAGAATGCTAATGTTAAGTTTCTTTTGCTGGGTAGCAGATACACATACATGTGTTCATTGAATTAATATCCCTCACCTTTAGCATAAAAGAATGATATATACTATACACATATCCAAGTTTTCCCAATTTTAAATATTGAAAAAAATGGGTACCTGTTCTTGAAAATTGTGGAAACCAGGAATGTAAGGCAGAAAAGAGAGGTGTGATGTGCCCAGAAGAGCAAAGGTGGTGCTCCCACTCTGAGAAAGTATATTAGCTAAGTGATGTGTAACTGCTACCACGGCATTTCAGCTAGTTTGTAAGGGATGGAACATAAGCATAAGTTGATGGCTTTAGGTAACAATGAAAGGAAATTAAACAGAAGAGGAATACTTGAAAATACCTGAGAGCATGCACTGGTGGAAAAATGCCAAAGTAGCCTTTGAAATTGGTGTCCATAGGAGGGCGGCATTCAACTCTCCGCTCTGCCACCTACTGGCTTTATGAACCTGTGGAATTCCTCAACACCTTGGGCTTCAGTTTCCTTACAAAATAACAGTGGTAATATCTATCACGTAAGTCTCTTCTGGATCAAATAAGAAAAGCAAAACACCTGACACATGGAAGACTCTCAATAAACACAAGTCCAATCTGAACACAAAGTTGAATCAGACCTAACTATCATGAGAATCATAGAATGTTATTTTTAAAATGAGGGACAGAAGACTCAAGTGCTGTACTAGGTCTCAAAGACACAACTTTTATACAAATGGCCCTCACATTGAAGATGTCTTAATATTAATATTTATAATGCCTTTTAAGCAAAAAACTGTCAAATTCCTATTTCTCTCCTTACTCCCATGACAAGAAAGATCTAAAGAACCATAGCTCATAACATGACCCACATGTGTAATTTGCAAATCAAAAAACTAGATCGTAAAGTGCCATAAAGTAAAACAACCAAATTTTAAAAACTGGAAGGGCTCTTTACTGTCTTATAAAATGTTTTTTAATATTCCAATACACTTATTAACACTGCAAGTAAAATGCATTTTAAATGCAGTTCAATATCATTACACTGTAGTATACAATGTGTATTAAAATGTACAAGAATTTTGTGGTATCGACACTGAAAGTTAAAAAAAGTATACAAATAGGTGGATTTCAAATACAATTGTTCTCAATATTGCTTTGGAGTCAGCTTTAGACTGTATTATTCAAAATATAATAATTGTATTATCCAAATTCTACACAAGAGTTTAATCATCATTTGTACCAAATAACACAGAATTTATTCTTTAAGTTAATTACCCACAAATTGTTACTAGTAGACTGAGAGACTTCTTTCCCCCAAAAAATCCACACTTTGATAAGGTCAGTTACTTCCCATGGGCTCCAAAACTCTTAACATTTTCCCCCAATATTCTTCTACTAGAATTTTTGCCAAATAACTCTTTATCCTTTTTTCTGTATTTTTAATAGTTGTGCTATAAATCATAAGAATACATCTTTTTTTGTAGTTGCACTATTTTATCAGTCATTTTCTAAATCATGTATGATCAAAATATCATTTACTAAATTAATCTGAAAAAGTTCTACTCTGCTGCAATTATACAAATCCTACTGGTCACAAAACTAATAATGCAATTATAAACTAACACTTACCAATGTGAGAAATCAAGATTTATGGGGAAATCAAACCAAAAGCAAGACTGAAAAAATATTCACTATCTATTCTTACTCTCTCAATATCATAGTTGTAATCAAGAGCATTCCCCTGCCATATTTAACTCATGCTAAATATACAATTCTATACAAATATAAATACTACAAAATGAAGTTCTACATGTACCCCATTAGTAAGGATTCATATATTAGTAATAATTCAAAAGTCTCCCAAAATATTGAGAAGTTTTTAGTCATACTATTCTGCCTTTTAATCATTATAACAAGCCATGATGTCCTAAAAAATAAGCATGTTTGACACTTCTTCGAAATAAAAACAAATATATCGACATTCGCACTATTTGCTTTTCAATTAGCTTCGTTTTTAATTAGCAAATTCTGAACTAGCCCATTTTAGAACTGAAACAACATAGCTCTTTCAATTGTAAAGAATTAAAAACAGTGTTCACCAATTTGAGATGGTTTGGAAAGCAGACGTAGTGGGATTACACTTTCACACAAATCTTAACAAGGAATAGCCAACACAGTAGTTCCTAGTTAAGTAGTGCTATTCTTGGAATTATACTGTTTCTCATAAATCCTAAAGAAATATATCCACAGAAAACAGTCGCTTTACCATGGTGATCT
This sequence comes from Homo sapiens, assembly GCF_000001405.40. NCBI lineage: Eukaryota > Metazoa > Chordata > Mammalia > Primates > Hominidae > Homo > Homo sapiens. Next base: position 116,138,271 of record NC_000006.12, on the reverse strand, counting down.
TGGCTAGGATGCTTAACCTCTAGGCCTCAAATTCTTTATCTCTAAAGATGAGAATAATAATAGTACCTACTTCACGGGGCTGCTATGACAAGTAAATGAAATAATATATGCAAAGTTGTTAGAATTAGATCTAGCACATAAGATCTTAAAATGTCAGCTATTGAGCTGGACATTTTCTTTCTTTTCTTTTTTTTTGAGCAGAGTCTCACTCTGTCACCCAGGCGGGAGTGCAGTGGTGTGATCTTGGCTCACTGCAACCTCTGCCTCCCAAGTTCAAGCGATTCTCCTGCCAAGCCTCCTGTGTAGCTTGGATTACAGACACACACCACCACGCCTGGCTAATTTTGTATTTTTGGTAGAGATGGGGTTTCACCATGTTGGTCAGGCTGGTCTCGAACTCTTGACCTTGTGATTCGTCTGCCTCGGCCTCCCAAAATGCTGGGATTACAGGCATAAGCCAGTGCGTCCGGCCAAGCTGGGCATTTTCTAATAGATTCTCACAACTCTAAAAGATAACTGGTTTTCCATATAAACAGGTACGTATTGCACACATGCATTTTATAAAAGATATCTTGGTTCAGTAAATAATAGCATTTGTCTAAGTGTCTGTTGATGGCTGAAGGGATAAAGAAAATGTGGGACTTTTGTTTCCCACTACTGAGGCACGGGGATCCAGTGTTCCAACCCAGTGGGAAAACGCAGCCTTTGACTAAAGAGGAGACCCATGTAATGTTTGAGGAGACTGTGAAATACATTAGGGAGAATCTCTAGCTGCCAGCTGAGAGGCTCAATGGCACCTACTGTTCTCGGCTGCACAAAGGCCAGGTGTACTACGTGAGTGAGAAGATTCTGAAGCTGGCACTGATATCTGATTTCCCTGTGACCTGCTTCAGAAAATTCACCAAAACCTACAAGTTTCAGTTGAACATCACAGCTCTGGATTACCCTGCACCCTATGCCAAGTATAAAGTGTGGATAAAACCTGGAGCACAGCAGTCCTTTCTATATGGAGACGATATGTTGAAATCTGGTCTGAGTCAAATCATGAAAAATACTTCTCCTGGCCAGGAAGTGGTGGTGGCAGACATCCCTTTGGGTTTTGGGGTGGCAGCCACATCTACGCAAGACTGCAGAAAAGGAGACCCCACCGATTTGTGGTATTTCATCAAGCAAACACTGGTGAATATGTGTGGCATGAAGAGACGGTGACTTAAAATGAAGTCACTGCAAGGACTTAACAGTGGTGTGGAAAGGCCCAGCTTTGTTTCCTGTGTTTGTGTGTATTCCACCATCGGGTTGAATTTTGTCAACACTATGACCTCTTCAGGTCTTCTTAGTTTATATACTATCCATCACGACAAACACAGGCTGGATTCTTCTTGTACAGAAATGGCTCAAAATTGGGGTTTCAGATTTTTGCATTTGTGACTAAATATTCTGTTTCGTATCTGAATCTGAGGGCTTCTTGTTCTGAGTAACAGATTCCAAACCGTTGGAACTAAGGCCAAGAATAGCTTATTGTTATCTGTGATAACACTTTGTTTTCCAAACTCATGATAACAGCATATGGATTTTTATCTGTTTATTAATATGAAAGATAGATACTGCCATATCAGAACAGTAAGTCACATCTGAGATTTCACAAATGAAATTTGACTCAAATAATAACAGCAATTTATAGTAAGTGTTATGTGGTGTGGAAGAAAAACTTGGGTTCAAACCCCAGTTCTGCCGCCTACCAGCTAAATGACCTTGGATGAGTCATTCCACTTAATAAGCTTCATTTTCTTCTTTTAAAAAAAACCCCACAAAACTTAAAAAAAATAGCTATAACCATCTACCTAAGAATGGTTTTTAGAATTAGAAGAATCATGATTATAAAGCATGTAACACAGTGCCTGGGAAATGACAGGTGTCAGCCCCCTTGTCCTTTAAAAAAAAAAGTGTGCATATTACATACATACACACCAACATGTAATATTATTCAGCCTTAAAAAAGAAGAAAATCCTGCTATTTTTGACAACATGGATGAACCTAGAACACAATATGCTAAGTGAAATACACCAGACACAGAAGGACAAATACTGCATGATCTCACTCATACGTGTAACCTAAAAAAGTCAAAATTCATAGAAGCAGGGAGTAGAATGGTGGCTGCCAAGGGCTGCAGAGTGGAGGGTCACAGGGAGATGTTTTTCAAGTGGCACAAAGTTTCAGTTACGTAGGATGAATAAGTTCATGAAATCTAATGTACAGCATGGTGACTATAGTTCGAGATACTGTATCATATACTTAAAATACGCTAAAAGAGTAGGTATTTAAGTGTTCTCACCAATGTAATGGATATGTTAATTAGCTTGATTGTGGTAACCATTTAGCAATGTGTGTGTATGTGTGTATATATATATATATATATATATATATATATATATATATCTGAAAATATATTGTATACCATAAATATATATACTTTTAATTTATCACTTATAACTCAATAAAGCCAGAAAAAAAATTTTTTAAGCTGAGTATTTGTGAAACTATGACCAGGGATGGGTATGTTGATCCACAGTTTAGAGTACTGCCAGCAGCATATATATCAGGAAAAAAAAATGTTTGTTAGTTGAATTAAAGTCCAATGAGTCTAGAGTAAATATTAAATATAGCTCGTGCAAAATGCTTTTGGTAATAGAAGTTATATTGTTCATCAAGTAATGAAATGGAATATTACCTAAGATTTTAATGAGAAAAAAGTTAATTTTGTCCAAGCATAACTTTGCTGAATAACAAGCAGAACTGAGGGCTCTACCAATATTATCTAGAGAACTCACATGGAGTTGTTAAATAAAAAGGTGGGGGGGGCGGTTATGGATGCTACAGAAAAAAAATGAAATATCATTTTCTAGTACTTACTTGGATTAGTATCTCTTTCAGCTCTAATATTCGTATTTTAATGATATTGATGCAATTCTCCAATTTTCATTTTATAAACTTGAATGTTCTAAAATATTTATCTAATACTCACAACCCAAATAATAACATCTTCCCCCTTTAAGGGTCATATATGTATTTCCATTCAAGAGAAGATGCTAACAGGTAGGCTGAGCAGGGAAAGAACTAATAAATGATATCAGTAGTCTGTGAGCCCATTTTTATTTCCTGGCATATAATATATTTTTAATACATTGAAGAGTTGAATAAATCAATGTATCAATAAGTAAATGGGGTACAGATGAGTAAAAGATAATGGGAAAGTGAAGCATAGCTATGTCTAAAAAGTTATTTGTTGCTCTGAAACTTCATAGTTCAGGTTTCTGAGATATTTAAAGAAATCTCTCTAAACTCCCAAGATTCTGGGCTCTTCTCCTTTTTCTTTCCATCTCAGGCCCAACCTGAACCTACCCTCTTACATCTATATCCTCCTACCATGCCTACTTTCAGAAAAACTGTCTTTGAAAAATCTCTGAAATTCTAACTTATTAGCCAGCCAGTAGAACAATTTAAGGTACACACTTACTAGAACAGCAACCACGGTTATTTTCTTTTGTGAAAACTACTTTGGGAAGAAGTTGTTAATACTAGGACCTCTACAAGAATTCCAAGTTATTATTTTAAGGTAAGGAAAGGTTTGGAAAGACTCAGGTCCAAACCAGCACCATGCGAATGGCCCTATCCCTGGGCATCCACAAGCATGAGGCAAACCATCCACCTCAATAAACATGGAAATCTGATGTCCTGACGCTCTTAGTTCCTTCATTCAGGGACATTTATAAGGTCTATGCCTTATAACAGGCACTACTTGTATAGAGTGGATTTTCAATAATAAATAACCCATAGTCCTTGAATTACGTTCAGGAAAGAGTATAAAGTATGAGAAAACACCATTTCATGATTTGGAAGATAGATTCACACAGACACTAAAGAAGTCAGAGGCCATAAGAGGCTTTGGTGTCTGGCGTTTATCTCCATGAGTCTACAGCAGGAAGTAGCTCCTGCTCCAGATTCCTAGAACCCAACCTGGCAACTGGTATACATAGAGGGTCAGAAAAAGTCTGACAATTATTTGAGAAGACTGTCTAATATCAGAGATATTTACCTCTTTGACACCAGTATGGTCATCATCACCAATCACAATTGTGGAGCATTCCCAAGCACTGTTTTGCCACTTATGTGTCATTTCACTTTCCAAAGATCCTAACATATAAAATTAAGAGAAAGTAGGGGAAGATGACAGCATGTCTAAACTTCCGCCTGATTAGCATCATAAGTGGCAAGAGTTATTTTTGACTCATAAGTTATTAAAGATAGTAAGAATTTCAGCACTAATAAGATCACTGGGGGAAAAAAACCACTATTAATGGTTATTATATCTCTATAGTATATACATTTTATTTTCTATTTGTTACATTTTTCCCAAATAGCAATTACCTTTAAAATATGAAAGAAAGCAGGCAAAGAGGAAACCAGGGTGCAAAAAGGCCAGGTGATCTGGTCAGCATTACTGGTGGGCAAGAGGCAGGAACCAGGGATGGCAGGAAGACTCACTTAGCATCTTTGCACTATTAGGGAAGAGGTCTGTGGGTGAGGTAACACAATTATTTGATCAATGGCTAAACAGACAAGGGCCCAGCATTACTGGGATGTATTTTCATTGTTAGTATGATTAAGTTAAATAGCTGCATAAGTATCCGTTTTGACGATGGGTTTCTTGGTGGTCTGTGTTGCCACACAGACCCTACAGGTACTCAGGTGCCCTATAGGTACTTAATATTCTACAGGTACTCGTGTACCCTACAAGTACTTTACTTTGTACACTATAGATGGTGACTGTGGAGTTGTTCTCAAGTACGATGGCAAACAGAGGAACAAAGAGATCTAAATAAAAAGTGTTACCCTGTGACTTCTCTAATTAACACTTTAATTTGCTATAATTTCTCCTTCCAACTTAGCAGAAACTGCATGTGAAAGCTGAAGTTGTAAACAGAGTAGGAACTAACATGTGTGAATGGTTGAGAACCCATTGGGTAGCCAAGATCCCTGAAGATCTTAGGTCAAGGGGCCAAGACATTCTATATTTTTAACTCAGCTGGGTTACTATGGAAAGCAGGTGATGTCATTAAGCACTTGGCGCACGAAACTATGAGCTCTTCAAGTAATGTAGCAATTTGTGTATAACGGAAAACAGAATATAAAGCCCTTGTTAAAACTTTGTAAATGACTCTCAGTTTTTCTTGACCTGATCTGACGTTTCAGGGGTTTTTCATAAACACCTGTTTTTATGCATGAATTTCTCTTTTCAAACTCTCAGCAGGTATCTAACCACTAAAGCACATTAGACTATTTACACAAATAGATCATTTTTAGCTTCTGGGCTCTATAATGGCACCTAAGAATGTTCTTTTAAAATTTTTTCAAGAGGAATGAGGTACAGCAAGGTGGTGGTGGAAGGTGCCCTGACTAAACTTCTCGGCACTTTTCCCATTTCTACCCTAAAAGGATGAAGGATTAGAAGAACAGGAAAGTCAGTATCCTGCCAGAACAGGGGGTGAACACATTAGCCCAGTCGCTGGTGTTTTCCCTCAGTGGGCTCTCTCGCCAACAGCTTGTCACATCAGAAATGTAACTCAGTTAAACATTAGGCCAGGGGATGTGCATAATAAACTAGTTTCCTTGTCTGAAAAATAAAATGATTGATGTGGATGAACTTTCCTGCCCCTTACAGCTGAGTCTATGAAAGAACAATAATATTCTGAATAAAGACATATGTACCTTAAAAGAAAGTTTTACATGAAAAAAAAAACTCATAAGCAAATTAAAAAGACAAATAAACTGGGAAAAATATGTGAAAACTATATCACAGAACAGAGGTTTAAGTTATAGAACATGTACAGGAAAAGTAGGCTAGAGAAATGGTCTAAGCTATATGAAAAGATACTCAACCATGCTTTCAGTAAGAAGAATGAAAACTACAACTAGACTGAGATTCCAATTTTCACCTCTAAGGTGGACAAAAATTAAAAAGTTCAACAAAATCTAAACAACATATCCTGTTGGTGATGCTGAGGGGAAACAAGGCCATGAATCCCCATTCTATGACTCTCTCCCAAAGACATTCAGGCTACATATACACCCACACACAAAGTTATTCACTATAAAGTATTTGTGTTAAAGACATGGAATCAACCTAAATACCCATCAATGATAGACTGGATAAAGAAAATGTGGTACATATACCCCATGGAATACTATGCAGCCATAAAAAACAATAAGATAATGTCCTTTGCAGAAACACATGTGGTGCTGGAGGCCATTATCCTTAGCAAACTAATACAGGAACAGAACACCAAATACTGCATGTTCTCACTTATAAGTAGGAGCTAAATGATAAGAAACCATGGACACATAGAGAGGAACAACACACACTGGGGTCTTTCAGAGGGTGGAGGGTAGAAGGAGGAAGAGGATTAGGAAAAATAACTAATGGATACTAGGGTTAATACCTGGGTGATGAAATAAACTGTACAATAAAGCCCCATGACACAAGTTTACCTATGTAACACACCTGCACTTGTACCCCTGAATTTAAAAGTTAAAAAAAAGTATTTGTATTGGCAAAAGACAGGAAATAACACAGATGTCCACCTATAGGGCAATGGTTGAAAAAACTATGGTGCATCTATACAATGGAGTACCATGAAGCTGTAAAAAGGAATGCAGACCATCTTTACACAATGTTCTGCAATGATCTCCAATATAAACTGTTATCTATAATAAAGCTGCAGTTCAGGTCAAGAAAAACTGAGTCATTTACAAAATAAAGTATGTACACTGTGATGCCATTTACTTAAGAAGTTGGGAGGGATATAAATGAATAATACATTTTTTAATAAAAAGGATAAATCAAAACAATGTTTTAAAAATAGTTACATACAGAAGGAAGGTGAAACACAGGGTGGATAGGTCAGTAACAGAGGCTACCCTTCTCTGAATATTCCTTGTTTTATAAATTTGACTTCAGAAATATACAATGTTTGCTGGAGCTGGCTTATATTGGCTCTTGGTGAATGTTCAGGTATTTTGTGATCGGGTTTTCTGGAAACTGACCATACCACGGAGATCAGCAAACACATCTCCTTCACCCTCAGGTTGGTTGTTAAACATATATCCGAACACCAGAGAAAACATATGTACTTTATGAAAGTATAAAACAAATTAAATTTAAAAAGAGCATTCATAAAAATTGAAAGCAAAATGAAACAAACCTAACAGTGAATTGAGTGGGCAGTATTACCACATTGAATCAACTGTGTCATGTGACTTTACAGCACAGTAATGCAGCTCTAGTGAAAATACCAAAAGAATTGCAAACATAATCAAACGGCTTATATTTTTTTTCAATATTCTGGTACGAATATTGGTATTTTTATTTTGAGAAATTGTGAGTATCATGGAATAAACAAATGAATAACTATATTACTGGCATGAGTACTAGGGTTTTTAGCATGGGACCAAGCAGCTACAGATACAAGATTGAGGTCATTAAGTAAACACCTGTGGTCCTGAATGTGCATTGGCTACATCAGTAAAATGTTATCATATATCTTATATTTAATGAACACCCTGTGCATACGTTTCTTAGCTGTTCACTAGATAGAATGACCAACCCAGAAGCAATGTGCATCCCTAGGACCCAGACATCCAGGCACTCAGACTGTGGTTTCTATTTCCCACAAAAGAAACTAAGAGTCTGTGGAGAAATGTCTTATTGTAGATCTGGGCCACGAAAGGTACAAAACATTAGAAGGAAAGAAGCTATAAAAAAAACTACTGGGATCATGGTCAAAAGAACTCAGGAGCCAACTGGTAGAGGAGAGGCTCTCACTGGCCAAAAATGGGGAAAAAATTCTGAACAATAGTAAGATTAATAAGTGCCACGGACTGAAACACATACAATACATTATAAACTGAATGTTTATAATGATAAACACACACACTTTCCTCACTACACCTGTGGAGGATGCTGGGAGCAGCTTATTGTTCTAAATGCTGGTAAAGGCATTTCTCCTGCTTTTTCTATACACACTGTACTTCAGGGTAATCAAATAGTTGATGAAGGGGTGTTTTTCTTTATAGAGAATATCCTAGCTAATAAATAAAATACAAATGATAAAATCAGAATATCATCATTTTATAACCTATAATAAAATATTGACTGTAGGCAATTACCAATGTCCAGTAACACCAAAGAGACACCAGCAATTAAGGGCTTCCTAACAGAAGTATATCATACCACTCTCTGTAAAGGGTTCTTGCCAAAAAATGTATTTGTGTGTGCTGTATCTGTGTGTGAGTGAATGTGTGTATCTCAAACCTGAAATCAGATGAAAACTCTAGATTTAACTACCAATCTCCACAGTAGCAAGTTAAGTGACAACAAATTCTAGATCACAGGAAATTGCATGAGACAGATGACACGGCTTTTCAACAAATAAACTGCAAGGGAGTAAAAAGTGACACAAGACACCTAGAGTAACAGGTTTAGTCCATTTTACACTACTATAACAGAATGCCACAGACGGGGTAATTTATGATGAACAGAGCTTTATTCGGCACACAGTTCTGAAGGCTAGGAAGTCCAAGAGGATGGCACCGGTATCTGGAGAGAGCGTTCATGCTGTAGTATCGCATGGCAGAAGGCAGAAGGGCAAAAGAGGGCAAAAGTGTGCAAGAGAGCAAAAGGGGGCCGAGCTTGCTTCTATATAAAGCCCACTCTCACAACAACTAACCCATTCCCACAATAACATTAATCCATTTATGAGGGCATAGTCCTCGCAACCTCATCACCTCTTAAAGATCCCACTTGCCAAAACTGTTACATTAAGAATTAAGTTTCCAACACATGAACTTTGGGGGATACATTCAAACCATGACAACAGGGATATATGAATCAACCTAATTTCAACAAACAATTTATCAATCAATAAAAAATATATGTGGATATGTATGTATGTGTTTCTATATAATATAGACATGTGTATACATATGTTTGTGTATATACATGTCTATATATGTATGTGAACTACAGGATTTGATGATATTAAGAAATGGCTGATTTTTTAATACGATGATGACATTGTTTTAAAGAAAAAAGACTCCTTCTCTTCTGGAAAAATATACCAAAATATTCACAGGTAAATTGGTACAATATATGGGATTTACTTCAAAATTTGAAGGAGTGGTGAATGAAAAGAGAATTGAGTGACAGCGAGTTGAGATCAGTTTGAATGACAGGCATATAGGCATTTATTGTAACTATTCTCACTACTATAAAAGACAAGTTTTCTGTAAAAAAGTTTAAAAAGCATATGAACACAAATAACAAAAACCAATGTAACTAATATTAACAAGGTGGTAATAGAACACTGATATCAGACTATACATTCTAACTTAGGAGGCCATCATGATCACCTGAGGAGCTTCATGAAAATATAGTCTTTGAACCACCACTATTTTAATGAACCTCAAAGGCTGAAGGAATTGTGCATTTCCCTCAGGACAGCAGGAGTGGGGAAAAGAGGCTGAGAACCACTGTGTAAACACTTTAAGGGTATAGAATATATATTATTCACCCAGTATTTATCTTAATGTCTAACACTTAAGAAGCACTTAAGAAACATAAGGTGAATTAATTAACGATCCACAGATGTACAAATGAATAGGCAAGCTTAATAGTAGCTAACTGCCAGATGTGAAAAAAATCATTATTCATATTTGATATTTAAAAAAATTACTCAGGTTATAGAGTTTAAAGAGTATGGCTCTCTGTTTTGAGTGGAATGGGTTTCCTTCATAAAGCCACAGACTAGTCACTTCAAACAGCTACAAGTAAACACCCAGAGTAAAAATAGTTTTAAATACACAATTGGGTGGGGTGTGGCTAGAAAATATTCTGATTCTACAATCTGTTTTGGACAAGACAGTGCTTCTTATGTGACTAACAAAGCAAACAGCAGTCAGATTCCTTGTGCTGAAATAAGTACACTATTTGCAAAAAGGGTTGAATGTCCAAGGCTTATTCAATAAGGACACCACATTTTCCAAAACTAAAGGGGAGTATAGAATGACAAATACCCACATATATTTACATATCCCTAAAAGAAGACATACAACCTCCTGGTATGGATTTTTTTGTGTCTCTAATAAGTACTAACTGGAGCCAAGTCTACCATCTGACCATGGAGAACAGCAGAATACCTCAAGCACAGGAATAATCTAATTTTAAAACTGGGAGGAGCTTAGAAACCACCTAGTCCAAACTTTTCATTGTGTTGATAAAAAACAGACACCCAGAGAGGTTAAAGTGAAAGGCTCTGAAAATTGTTGCAATAGCCACAGATGAACAAATGGTATACACAGGGGCATAGCACTATGTATTAAGAGCTGAGAATTAGTCTTCTGAACGTTCACGAGTGATAACTAACAGGGTATCAGTCTCAATTATAAGCAAATAGCAGTATGTGTGTGCATGTGTATCACCATATATACACACAAAATATTAAAATATATATTTTAATAATTCCTTTCAAAACAAATTCAACCTAGCATTCAAAAGCATCCATAAAGTTACCTCACCTACTTTTTCAAAATTGTGTCCAAATGGGCCATAAGCCAAAAGGCAGGTGTTTTCTCTCACTTATCTTTTGTAGTCTCCTACAGATGTAGCAGAGTACATATTATAATTACAAAAGCTATTCCATATATAATTTCCAAATGATGAATTATAAACTTTCCTATTTTGTTATTCTAAACTGCTATAAGAAACATATTTTATATGTATCTATGAGTATTATACAGAGATATATACAACAATGTAAATTTTTTTAATATGGCAATCAACAAAATGCTTACAAGCAAGAGGAGAGAGGCAATGAGATGCCTTATCCATTTACATTTCCATAAAGGGCTATACAAGGCTTTGTTTAAAATACAGAAAATTGCTTGAAGGGGAGAGAAAGGGAAAAGAAAAAGGACAAATCTTTAGTTCATTCACTGGTCAAACTTTCAATTATTTCAATTATTGATTAGTCCTGAATCCATACTACTTTAATTCTGTGGAGGTAGAAAAATGATGTGTCTATGCCTGTGTATGGAATTGTCCTCCTCAACCAGTTCACCTGCATAGTCAATTTGATTTTGATTCAAAACGATGAAATTAAATAAGATGAAAAATTTGGACTCTCAACTTCCCACCTTTATTAGATTTTTTAGGATCCTAAAAACTGATTTTAAAGGCTTCCTAATATTGTTAAACAGAGTCTAACTACCAAAATTGACAACAATAGTGTTTACTTCCACCTTTGAGGGAAAGTGTTTCTAATTGGGATGATTCCTAACTGCAAGTTAAGCCAATAATATTTTTTTTAAGCTGAAAGCAAAGTTTGAAAATTTTTTTCTCCTGAAATAAACACAGCAATCTTATGTAAATTAACATAATATGAGATTATCAAATTAAGGGGTTTTTGCAAACTCTACTGCAACTCTAAAGTAAACCCAAATTTAAGCAAGAAAATCTGAAGTCATTTACTGAATATAGCGTAGTGTTGTGAATAAGGGATCTAAATCCTAAAAGCCTAAAAGTAATTAAGAATTGGGGTCAGCTATTTTCACAAAAATTTATGAATATTAATAGACACATTGATAACTTTATGTAATAACTCAATAATTTAGATGATGGTCTAAATCCAGTACCCCCTTCAAGGAATTTTATCCGCTTTTATGTACTACCACATATTATATAATATCAACCAATTAACATAAGAATGTGCTTTTCAAAAATAAAAAGGGGGTATCATCATTCCACCGTGAACCAGCCTGAACACTAGAGTATTAATTAATAAAATAGAATCACAGACAAAGACGGTCCTTGGTTAAAACTATTAATATATATTTAAGACAATGGGTTTATTTTTAAATAAGAAAACAAGGAAAAGGAGAGCCCAGCCCGATCTTGTGTGCCTACCCAATAGAACTTTCCACCATAATTAGTGCTTACCAACTTTGAGGGGAGGAGCTTAAGCTCAGGGTAACCTCATGTAGTAAGGGAAAAACAGTATAAATACCACTGAACAGCTCTTGAGAGGCACCTTCTGCACTGCTCATCTGGGCAGAGGAAGCTTCAGAAAGCTGCCAAGGCACCATCTCCAGGAACTCCCAGCACGCAGGTAAGCGTACGCTTACTGGTGGACTTCCATGTTAACTTGCTTGGAAAGAAACTTTAAAGATTTAAATACTTGAGTTTTCTCAAGTATTAGAAGTATTAAAGTGATTTAAAAAATGGGTTTCTACTAAAATGCACTCCAAAAGTTCTTTTTGCATCAGTCTGTGGATGATAGTCCCAATAAAACCATATTGTAAAAATTTGCCCTAATCCGAATTTCAGTGTATTTTGAAACTATTAGATATTTCAGGCTATGTCAAAGATCCTAGATTATTTAATACAGACATCCAATCCTAATTTCTGTTTCTTTTCCTTTAGGTAAATCATTTTATTTTCACTTGATTACCTGAGTATAGCTTCCAAAAATAACTAAGACATATATTCACATAACTAAAAAATGATCTCTCATTTATTTATGGCACATATTAAAAATATATAGGATAGGTTAAAAAAGTAGATAACTGTATAAAGAACTCATCTGTGAAACATGAGAATAAAAAAATAGGTTAATAACAATGCTGTATAAAGTTATTCTTTTCTGTTTTTCAGAATCCATCTGAGAATATGCTGCCACAAATACCCTTTTTGCTGCTAGTATCCTTGAACTTGGTTCATGGAGTGTTTTACGCTGAACGATACCAAATGCCCACAGGCATAAAAGGCCCACTACCCAACACCAAGACACAGTTCTTCATTCCCTACACCATAAAGAGTAAAGGTAAATTGAATTGTATATTTTGTTCTATTAACAAGTTGCTTGTTGCTTTCTATAATCTTAATAATCTCTTTAACAAAATGCATTTAACTTTGGTGTTACTTTCCAACTTCTGAATTAGCCCAAATTATTACAACAAAGTGATCTGTGAAAAAAGTAGAACAAGAATATCCAATAAGTGTAGTAGAAAGGATATACTTGAAAATATAGTTGAAAGATATACCTGCAAAAAATCAGAACTTTTGTGTGTACAAATTTTTTTCTCAGATGCTGCTTTTGCACAAATAACTGCATGTAATCCAGAAATCTTGATCTAATCAAAACTAATCAAGTTTAAAAATTTTAAGCTAAAAATAACTGCCAATTGTATAAAGAAGGTAGCTGGTTTATTTAGCTAAATATTAAACATTTACTTTTAAAACTAATTCAACTAGCCCACAAACAGATATAAAACCGAGTCTTATCAAAAAAATCTGATGGCCTCCCCCCCAACAATGAACAAATGTAATTATGAGAATTGCCAAGCAGGCAAATGAAACTGCAATTCTCATAATTACTTATACATTTTGAATATAGTTTAGCGGTAAAATGCAGAGACTTAACTGTAATGCATAAGCTGTGTGACCTGAGGTAAGTTACTTGTCCTCCCATGCCTTAGTTTCCTCATTTGTAAAATAAGGAGCAGCTATCTCAAGGGCTGCTGCGAAGTTTAAATGAATTAATACCTGTAAAGTGCTTTAAGTGTTGCTATTACTTCTACTACTACTTCTGTTACTCCTAGTTTTATTTCTACTACTTTTAGCTACTAATATAGCCTTCAATAAGTTAACTTTCTTCTTGAATCTGTTGCTTACCTGTCCAGTTTTCTTGGTTACTCTTTGAAGATTACTGAGATAATATATGTAAAGCACTAAGGTTCTCAAAGGAGGGCAACTTCTAGGCCTCATATTCACTAATTTTATTTAACAGCAACTGACACGACCGCCTATAAAATATCTACAGAATAATATAAACTGACTGTAGGCTTCAAACTCCCTTTCCATAATTTTTTAATTATATATTTTATACTGTAAATAAAGCTAAGGATATTTGTTATAAAGTTTAAATATTATGCTTTTGGGAACAACCATTTTGAGCAATGAAACTTATAGAATTGTCTTTTTAAGAAGAAAGATGGAATTTAAAATATTTCACAAAAGGAAACTTAATATTTGAAAATAAATGCACAGGTATACAACAGATACTTTTGAATGTCTCAAAATATAAATAAAAATTTTAAAATTTAAAGGCTAGTAAAGAAAAAAATAAAAGACAAAGCAACCTTCCGCTTTACTTGAAGCAACAAACACAATTTGAAATGCTATGACAAACAGCACTGGATTCAATAGTTTCCATGATCACAAAAATCAGACTTTTTAACACCTTAATAAGAGCATAACAAAGTCTTGAATTAAAAAGAAAATGCACTATTTTAGAAGGTTAAAAATACTTTGATCTTCTCTTAATATACACCATTATCTTGGCTACTTTTGCAGAACAAATGAAAATATCTTAACAAATGAAAAGTTCAGAAGCTGTATTTAAACTACTAAATCCACCTTAGTCTCTTTTTAGATAGACACTCAACTACACTATCATCCATTGGCAGACATTAATGCACCATAACAAACACAAAAGCCCACAGTCTATACAAGTAAGACATTAAGTTGAAACAGGAATTCAAAGAGTTATTACATAATTCCTAGGCATATCCATCCAACACAGGTTAAAAAAGAGTTCTGTCAAAACATACTAAATTATGCTGCAGAGGATTCCACAGCTGGTGGGCAGATGCACGTGCCACATTCTGACACAACCAATCACGATTTCAGTTTGTGGCATTTAAAAAACTTAATAGAAGGAAGTAGTCGTTTTACCTTGAGGATTGTGCCACCCTAATCTTGAATGAAGAAAATTTTTTCAGATGACAACCTACAAACAGGGGCTGTCCCCCAAGCATTCAATAGAAGCCAAATTCTTTCTCGCACTGAGAAGTTGAGACCCATTAGGACAACATTCCAAGTGACAAAGTTCGCCCTGTCACTGGAGTTCCAGTCTCGGATGACGCCCAATGCACTCATTTCCATTGACTTGTTTCTCCTTTTTAATAGTAAAACAGATTTCCAATCAGACTAAGACAATTATTTTTAGTGTGAACATGACCCTTATAATCAGATTCTAAAGCAAAGCTCAATCTAACATAGTTGGCATTTTAAAAAATCCACTATTTTATTCCTCCAACCCATTAAAAAATTCCTTATTTATTCCTCTATTTGCAATATATCAATATCCACTTATACATAATATAATCATGTATGTACACTACAATCAATGAAATATTTAATATACGGAAATCTTTTACATAAATTTTTCTCACAGTCTTTTTCCTGATGTCATTTTCTGAAAATCCATGGGGAAAGCTCTATGTATTTATATTAATCAATGTTTTCAAATTGAAATATAACTCTAATTAGTAAAAAAAAATCTAAATCTGAAACAATTATTTTCCTATTTCGGCATATCTATTTTAATGATTCGCTCTGCATTTATATACACCAAATGTTTTCCAAATCTCAGAAACATCTGTACCCTGTGCTTTCCCCATACTTGTGGCCCAGCCGCATTTTTCACATCACAGGCACTATGATTTTTAGTTTAAGTTTAGTTTATCAGGTCAAGTGAACTCACAGCTCTATGAAATCAAACACTATATATTTGTATTTAGGTAAGAACTTTAATACTATTTTATGTACCTCACCTATTATGTCTAATTCTCTAGTTCTTTGTTTCAATTTTAAGTCAATAATGGAGAGTATAAGAGCTCAGAGTATATTCTGAGGTAAAAGTAAATCAACCAAAATCTAACCTGTGTTCAGCAGAGGCATGGCAGATGTAAATCAGAATTAATTCTGTTTCTCTTTTATGTCTGACAGGGTAGCTTTGGGAGGGAAAATTTTTATAGTTCTTAAACATTTTCTCACTTATTCTGCACTGTCTTTTTCTGCCTTTTCTGTACATGATTTTCCCAAAATAAATGTACTAAATTTACCTCCACTGCACTTATTCTAGAGGAATTCTTCAATCCTAGCTCATTTTCATGAATCACTGTCATGGGATAAAAGTATTATGGTAGCCATGGTTTTGTGAAACCATCTTCTCCAGCAGAATTTTTTAAAACAGTATAAAACATATAATCTAAAACCATTTCAGACTGTTCTGTCTACATGGAATAAATGATGCTGAAATATCGTGTCCCAATTCATAGTTTGAAAGGCAATGATTCTCTTTAATGTCACTAACCATCCCCTTCTATGGGTGGGTGTGTTGGGTGTGTCTTTTAGGTATAGCAGTAAGAGGAGAGCAAGGTACTCCTGGTCCACCAGGCCCTGCTGGACCTCGAGGGCACCCAGGTCCTTCTGGACCACCAGGAAAACCAGGCTACGGAAGTCCTGGACTCCAAGGAGAGCCAGGGTTGCCAGGACCACCGGGACCATCAGCTGTAGGGAAACCAGGTGTGCCAGGACTCCCAGGAAAACCAGGAGAGAGAGGACCATATGGACCAAAAGGAGATGTTGGACCAGCTGGCCTACCAGGACCCCGGGGCCCACCAGGACCACCTGGAATCCCTGGACCGGCTGGAATTTCTGTGCCAGGAAAACCTGGACAACAGGGACCCACAGGAGCCCCAGGACCCAGGGGCTTTCCTGGAGAAAAGGGTGCACCAGGAGTCCCTGGTATGAATGGACAGAAAGGGGAAATGGGATATGGTGCTCCTGGTCGTCCAGGTGAGAGGGGTCTTCCAGGCCCTCAGGGTCCCACAGGACCATCTGGCCCTCCTGGAGTGGGAAAAAGAGGTGAAAATGGGGTTCCAGGACAGCCAGGCATCAAAGGTGATAGAGGTTTTCCGGGAGAAATGGGACCAATTGGCCCACCAGGTCCCCAAGGCCCTCCTGGGGAACGAGGGCCAGAAGGCATTGGAAAGCCAGGAGCTGCTGGAGCCCCAGGCCAGCCAGGGATTCCAGGAACAAAAGGTCTCCCTGGGGCTCCAGGAATAGCTGGGCCCCCAGGGCCTCCTGGCTTTGGGAAACCAGGCTTGCCAGGCCTGAAGGGAGAAAGAGGACCTGCTGGCCTTCCTGGGGGTCCAGGTGCCAAAGGGGAACAAGGGCCAGCAGGTCTTCCTGGGAAGCCAGGTCTGACTGGACCCCCTGGGAATATGGGACCCCAAGGACCAAAAGGCATCCCGGGTAGCCATGGTCTCCCAGGCCCTAAAGGTGAGACAGGGCCAGCTGGGCCTGCAGGATACCCTGGGGCTAAGGGTGAAAGGGGTTCCCCTGGGTCAGATGGAAAACCAGGGTACCCAGGAAAACCAGGTCTCGATGGTCCTAAGGGTAACCCAGGGTTACCAGGTCCAAAAGGTGATCCTGGAGTTGGAGGACCTCCTGGTCTCCCAGGCCCTGTGGGCCCAGCAGGAGCAAAGGGAATGCCCGGACACAATGGAGAGGCTGGCCCAAGAGGTGCCCCTGGAATACCAGGTACTAGAGGCCCTATTGGGCCACCAGGCATTCCAGGATTCCCTGGGTCTAAAG
The DNA here is from genome assembly GCF_000001405.40 of Homo sapiens. Classification (NCBI taxonomy): domain Eukaryota; kingdom Metazoa; phylum Chordata; class Mammalia; order Primates; family Hominidae; genus Homo; species Homo sapiens. The sequence continues at coordinate 116,120,716 of NC_000006.12, read as the reverse complement.
GGGATCCAGGAAGTCCCGGTCCTCCTGGCCCAGCTGGCATAGCAACTAAGGGCCTCAATGGACCCACCGGGCCACCAGGGCCTCCAGGTCCAAGAGGCCACTCTGGAGAGCCTGGTCTTCCAGGGCCCCCTGGGCCTCCAGGCCCACCAGGTCAAGCAGTCATGCCTGAGGGTTTTATAAAGGCAGGCCAAAGGCCCAGTCTTTCTGGGACCCCTCTTGTTAGTGCCAACCAGGGGGTAACAGGAATGCCTGTGTCTGCTTTTACTGTTATTCTCTCCAAAGCTTACCCAGCAATAGGAACTCCCATACCATTTGATAAAATTTTGTATAACAGGCAACAGCATTATGACCCAAGGACTGGAATCTTTACTTGTCAGATACCAGGAATATACTATTTTTCATACCACGTGCATGTGAAAGGGACTCATGTTTGGGTAGGCCTGTATAAGAATGGCACCCCTGTAATGTACACCTATGATGAATACACCAAAGGCTACCTGGATCAGGCTTCAGGGAGTGCCATCATCGATCTCACAGAAAATGACCAGGTGTGGCTCCAGCTTCCCAATGCCGAGTCAAATGGCCTATACTCCTCTGAGTATGTCCACTCCTCTTTCTCAGGATTCCTAGTGGCTCCAATGTGAGTACACACAGAGCTAATCTAAATCTTGTGCTAGAAAAAGCATTCTCTAACTCTACCCCACCCTACAAAATGCATATGGAGGTAGGCTGAAAAGAATGTAATTTTTATTTTCTGAAATACAGATTTGAGCTATCAGACCAACAAACCTTCCCCCTGAAAAGTGAGCAGCAACGTAAAAACGTATGTGAAGCCTCTCTTGAATTTCTAGTTAGCAATCTTAAGGCTCTTTAAGGTTTTCTCCAATATTAAAAAATATCACCAAAGAAGTCCTGCTATGTTAAAAACAAACAACAAAAAACAAACAACAAAAAAAAAATTAAAAAAAAAAACAGAAATAGAGCTCTAAGTTATGTGAAATTTGATTTGAGAAACTCGGCATTTCCTTTTTAAAAAAGCCTGTTTCTAACTATGAATATGAGAACTTCTAGGAAACATCCAGGAGGTATCATATAACTTTGTAGAACTTAAATACTTGAATATTCAAATTTAAAAGACACTGTATCCCCTAAAATATTTCTGATGGTGCACTACTCTGAGGCCTGTATGGCCCCTTTCATCAATATCTATTCAAATATACAGGTGCATATATACTTGTTAAAGCTCTTATATAAAAAAGCCCCAAAATATTGAAGTTCATCTGAAATGCAAGGTGCTTTCATCAATGAACCTTTTCAAACTTTTCTATGATTGCAGAGAAGCTTTTTATATACCCAGCATAACTTGGAAACAGGTATCTGACCTATTCTTATTTAGTTAACACAAGTGTGATTAATTTGATTTCTTTAATTCCTTATTGAATCTTATGTGATATGATTTTCTGGATTTACAGAACATTAGCACATGTACCTTGTGCCTCCCATTCAAGTGAAGTTATAATTTACACTGAGGGTTTCAAAATTCGACTAGAAGTGGAGATATATTATTTATTTATGCACTGTACTGTATTTTTATATTGCTGTTTAAAACTTTTAAGCTGTGCCTCACTTATTAAAGCACAAAATGTTTTACCTACTCCTTATTTACGACGCAATAAAATAACATCAATAGATTTTTAGGCTGAATTAATTTGAAAGCAGCAATTTGCTGTTCTCAACCATTCTTTCAAGGCTTTTCATTGTTCAAAGTTAATAAAAAAGTAGGACAATAAAGTGATGGGTGGCTTTTACAGTTGTCATGGATATGTCCCTATATTGGTGATGCATCTTTATTCCCACAGACCCAACCACTCATTGTTGACTGTGAAGAGGTACCCACAAAACCACATGCAATCTGAGTCAGGGTCAAGGGCTGATGACTAGGGATAGAAAAATGACAAAATCACCCCAAAGTTGTAATTTTCTCCTGGGAGGGAAAGAAGCAGGTGACAGAGAAATATGCAGTTTGAACAAATATTCTGCAGTTACTATTTATTGTCTTGACATGTTTTTGGTTATAATATTTAAAATTGTTTTGATGGCTTGAATTACATTTTAAAAAGGCAAGCAATTTTTTTGTCAATCACAAGGCAACATTTTTTCCAAGCTGAAAAATACTACTCTTAAGAATCCATCATCCTATTAGTTTAATCAGGACAATGTGGCTCAAGTCACTGAGGTAACATACTATAAAGGCATCTATTTATTCCTTAGAAGCAATCTTGTGTAATCCAAGCAAAGCTGTGATTGGAAAGGTAAAACTCTGGGCTCAAGATTGGTGATATCTCTGCCCTCACTCTGGGTCAGCCAGTTTTGTTCCTTAAGCAACAAGAACAAAATTTCTGCCGGCAGACATTTTGCCCACCTGTCTATAACTACTACACTAATGGTTACAAGTCACCAACCCTTATGCCCAGGCCATGAAAAAGCAAAACTGGACTTCAATTCTAGGGAACTCACAGAATGACCCTCGTGGCAGGCGTGGTAAAGGAGAGTGTAACAGCACAGCTTGGAATATGGGCAATTATAGCCATGAAAGAAGCACAAATAAAAGGACTTCTGAAAATGTAGTCAGAACCAACTTTATAATAATATTTAAGCTTAAATTAAATCCTAAGTAAGATACACAGCAAAGTACCTACTTTTCAGCTAATTCACTAGACAAACATAGCTTAACAAACACGTATTAGAAGGCCCCTCTTCACAATACTTACCCTTAAAAGCTGACATTTTATAATTGTGTTGTATAGCAGCAACTATATCCTTCCAAAAATCAAATGTTTTTTGACCATTGTTCAGCTGAAAAAATAATTCCAAATGAAACAAACACAATAATTCAGTTTTTAAGCATAGTGAAAAATGCTGGCAAACAATTACAATGCAGACAGTCCCTGACTTAAGATGGTTAGACTTACAATTTTTTTATTTTATAATGGTACAAAAGTGATGAAGATTCAGTAGAAACTTAACTTCAAGTACCCATACAACAATTGTTTTTCACTTTCAGTACAGTATTCAATAAATTACATGAGCTATTCAATACTTTATTATAAAATAGGCTTTCTTTTGATGACTTTGCCCAACAGTAGGATAATGGAAGTGTTCTGAGTATGTTTAAGATAAGCTAGGCTAAGCTATGATGTTCAGTAAACTAGGTGTATTAAATGGATTTATAGTATTTTTGACTTAACGATGGGTTTATCAGGAAAAAACCCCATCATAAGTTAGGGAGCATCTGTATTACTATATTCTGATATAAGTTTATATTTTACAAAACATAATAAAGTTATCATTCTTCTAAATGTAATTTTAAAAAGAAATCTTCCATGAAAATCACTGCTACATATACACATACATATCACTAAATTTTAATATAGCTCATATAGCCCAAATAAAATAAAAATTTCCACTCGTTATAAAGTCTAAAAATTATAGAATATTTTTAAACACAGCAAATTCATAGTGTTATATAATTTCTGGGATATCAGAATGTGTTATATAACATACTATGGCATCAATGGGACTAAGAAGACTGACGCCCTAAAACCCCAAAAGCTAGTTACTTTAGAATTCAGTGCACACTTAACCTGAATTTCGATATGAAAGAGCTGCAAGTCTCAACAGAAGAGATGAATGAGGTTCCAAATCCGAACTGTAAATTGTTTTCATTAAGTTTTTTTAAATCAGAAAGCAAATAAACATTACATTAAAATATACAACCCTATGATCCTTTGCTTCCTTGAAAATGTTAACCAGTGACCTATCTAAACAAAGACAGACTACTAGATATTTATATCTAATTATACAAACTCCAAAATATTTAAAGACTGATACACTTTCCTTGTAGTAACTACCGAATGAGAAACTGACTCCATCTTGTGTTATTAAGATTTCTACAAACATACCCAAACTATTGCTCAATGGAAACTTTCACAACACATAAATGTAATTCTGATTCACAAATAAAGCATTACCTGGGTTCTATTATCAAAATGATAGTAATTATTATTATTATTTTGAGACGCAGTCTTGCTATGTCGCCCAGGCTAGAGTGCAGTGGCGTGATCTCGGCTCACTGCAACATCTGCCTCCCGGGTTTAAGCAATTCTCCTGCCTCAGCCTCCCTAGTAGCTGGGACTACAGGTGCACGCCACCACACCCAGCTAATTTTTGTATTTTTATTAGAGACAAGGTTTCACCATATTGGCCAGGCTGGTCTCGAACTCCTGACTTCGTGATCCGCCTGTTTTGGCCTCCTAAGGTGCTGGGATTACAGGCGTAAGCCACTGCACCTGGCCCCAAAAGTAGTTATTTTTAAAAGACATGCATAAAGGAAAGTGATTCTGACATATAAATCTGTTTGATGTTCATAGGTCTTAAGTCCTAAGGATAAACTAGTATAACCAGAGATCTATTTAATCTTGATATACAGTACAAAAGAAAAAATTTATATTCATTAAATGATGTTCAAAATGGTGAATTTTTAAATTTCATCCGATTTTTCTATTTTATATTATTTAGAATGCTTAAAGACACGCTGAATTTTCTTAATCACCTCTAACTTTTTTATTTTGCTAATGAAACTATTTATTTTGCTAAAAAAAATGTTTTGTCCAGATCCAAGTTCTGTATTTCTTTTCTTTTTCTAAACTTTTGCCCCCTCTGCTGGAGAATAGGTTTATTTTTCCTGAGAGAAAAAAAAAAGGTCACTGCTATTTAATTTTCCAAAAATATTTGAACCAAATTCACCATGTTTTTCTTTCCCAGTCAGCTCTGAAACCACAAAGAAGAAACTAAGCAAAATCACAACTCAGAAGCAATATATAATTAGGTCCTCCAATTTATGACTGACTACATATCATAGTTTTAAAAAATGAGTCCCCACTTACTTTTGTTAAATAGTCCACCACCCTGGCACACAGAAGAGCTCCTGGCAGGTCAAAGTAGTTGTCGTAAAAGTAATACTTTCCTAAAAAAGAACAAAATTTTAAACTGGGAACAACATAATGCTGCATGCATGTGAAATACACAGGAATATGGCTGAAGAGACACTAGATTTTGTTTAATTATCTGAAGAAGCCTCCATTCCAATTCAAAGTGGCACCATTATTGGCTGTCATTGTCTTTTAAGAAAGATTTAAGCTCTGAGGGCACCACAAGAAAGTTAAAAGATGATATCTAGAAGTTAAGCATTGTATTCGAAGATATTTTAGTCATCTTAAAGAATGTAAAAACTAAAAAGAGTATATGCAAAAAATAAAATAGAATATGAAAAAGCCATATGATGTTATCTATGTCACTGAATTTCAAAACAATCAATTTACCTAACCCTGGAGTACCATGAAGCGCTCTATACAATAGTGCTTTTTCAGATTGGTTGGCTGACCCCTCCTAGAGTACTGTATTCTATTTTTATGCCATTTAATTTCAGTATAATGTGAAAAAAACTGGGGTGATAAGTAGAATATAATCATGCCATGTGAAGACACAGTGTGCTTAAAAACTGTAGAGTATAGGACAGGTATATTCCAAGATTTCGTGGAAGAGAGGGATTTGGTTTATTCTGTATGACTTTAGGGTAGAATTACATTTGAGCCCTTCTTTGGCACATGTGACTTTTGGATCTGCTGTCCCTGAACAGACACTTTTGATGACCCATGTCACATCCCCTTGGCCTGCGTCTGATTGCAGCCACTGCTATGCTAATAGCACCATCCCACCTTGGCAAAACTGTGTCGATTCTCTTTCTCCCAAAGGCTCTGGAGCCCATGTGGCAAACTTCACATTTAGAACAGGTTCAGGAACCAGTAAAAGAATGCCCTGCTTCCTGTTCCATGGACAGACAACTCTAGGAGGTATTCTCTGCGCTTCTCCTTGGAAGTCCCAATGGAGTCCAGCAACCATTGTTCCTTCCATGTCTTATCCTCTCATTCCTTCACTCCTGACTACTGGGATCAGGAGTAACCACTCTGCTTTTGAGGGAACCCAACCTCATACAGTTCCCTAGAGAACGCTTGATACAAAGAAGAGTCAAACAGAACCAATAGGTAAAGCCAGATTTTACATTAATAATAAGGTGCTTGAATACATCATTATAATCACCTGATTTTGACTCCCCCCCCCTCCCCCCAATTTGCAAGCTATGTATATGAGGTTATGGAACACACTTGTCTTGTTCTTTAGCGTTGACTGGGCACAGTGTTCAGCATATTCTAAGCACTCAATAGACGTTTGCTGAATGAATGAATGAGTAATCCAATAAGCAAATAGATTACTTTGGAATGCAGAAGTATTATAAGGAAATTAGAAGAAAACCATATGCAGAAGCCAGGGTTCTGTTCCTCTGAATATTGTTTTCTGCCTCTTACTTCTTCCTGTAAATTTATTTTAAAATGTATAAAAAAAAAATCAAAGTTTTCTGTTAGTTCACAAAATGGCTGTGCCAGTTTGTGTCCATTCTCTCAGTTAAAAATATTTTGGTTGATATAGTCTTCCTGTTTTTCATTTTTTCACAGCTTGAATTGTTAGGGGAACCTCTCAGGCTGTTTTTAATTCCTAAGAAAGGTTAGGATGGCTTTGCCAGTGTGAAGAACCAGTGATCTGGAAAAAAAGGAAGATGATATGCCATGTGCTTTTCTGCCTCTGCTTTGCTATGCTGTAGGACTGTATGACACTCCAGGACTCCCAAGACTTAGGACAGTGGGCAAAGCTTCCCAAGGTTCATTAATCTGCACTTTGTCATATCGCTTGGCCTGACACTAGACTGACCCAACTTCATGGTCAGCTGTCTCAGGCACTGTTGGAGCAGGAAGCATCCCAGCATTGCCAGTTACATACCCTTGCTTTTCTCCTCCCATTCTTCTTCCTTTGTGGGTACTAATAGATGAAATTCAGTCTAAGAGTTGAACTATTGATTTTGAGTAAGGGCTGAGTTCTAATTAAATAATTCAGGGGGAACCTAATGAGAAGAGCTCATTGGTTTTCACCCACAATGCAAGAGGCTAAGGTCATTTGACTGTTGAACTTGGGCTGAATGTCCGCTGTGTGGACACAAGGGCTTGTTCAGCCTTGAGCTGTTAACTGGGCCAGGCTGCTTGCAATGCCTCACCCAACACCCAAACTCTGACACTACACCACATGAAAGCTTCAACGTCCACCTCTGTATAGAAGAGACAGCTCATTGCTAATGAAGTGATTAGTGAGCCCAGTTCAACAAAACAAGCCTCTGAATCAAGATCAAGTCCTATAACCATTAAGTTTTACACAGAGAAAAACTGCTCCCCAAGAAACTACTACCAACCCTACTCCCTTTGTCTTAGTGGCCATGGTAGAATGGCAAATGAAGGACTGAGGGGAAAGGAACAATTTATGTTAACAAAGGTTCTCACTTCTGCAAAGGTGGTATTATCTCCACTCAAAGATGAGAAAACTGATGCTAAGAGTGACTTAGTACCAGAGACACTTTATCCAGCAAATAACAGAGCTAATATGATCCAGGACTGTTTGGCACTAAGCCCCTTGTGATTTCCACTAGACCAAGCTGTTTCTGCATAATCTACCATTTGGGGAAGATAAGTTCAAAGGGATTTGCTCTCTGGAGATCAGCTGGCAAGGAACACTGTTCTTATGTTAGGTCAACAACCTGAAAAGAGATTATCAAACAAGTTGTCATCAAACATCTCTACATCCCTCAGTGCTTTAAATTTCCTAAATGTACTGATAGGGCATGTACTTTACAATTCTGTTCTTAACTCTGAGGATTAATATACTTAAAGGTAGAAGAAAGCTACAAATATAAAATCAACTGGAGTTCCTGAAAATAAAGGACTTATTTGGCAATATTTACCAAAATTTTAAACCTGTATATCTTTAGAGCAAGTATACTTCTAGGAGTTTATCCTAGATATATGTATGAAAGTGCAAAATATACATTCATGAAAACATCACCACAGGCTTGTTTGTAATGGTGAAACACCAGATACAACATAAATGTCCATTGCTAGGAGCCTGATTAAATATATCACGATACAGGCACTGAATTGCAGAGCATCCCAGCATTTAGAAGAACTAAGTGTACCTAGTGTGTGTGTGCTGATGCCAGAATCTCTAAGATGTAAATTGAAAAGAGCAAGGTAAATACATAATTCCTTTTGTATACCTTTAAAAAATAGGACAGGAGTTGAAGACAATTACTCTTCCTTCTATTCATTTCTATAATATTTAAATTTTCTAACCATGTGCTGAGATTAATATTTAACGTAAACAAACTTTAATTGGGCTGTGGTATCACAGGCCATTTTTTTCCTTCTTCCATACTTCTCTACATTTAAAAAAACTCATATTATTTTTTAAAGGCATTAGCTCTCCCTCATTTTGCAAAAACAATGGGCCTCTATTATGTGTCACAACCTGACCACTGGGTACCTGGATGGGAAACACTTCCCTAACTAACCCAAGTAGGTACAGATAAACTCCCAGGACCATTCTCAGAAGGCTCCTGACCAAGTAAGTGCCAGATGAAGCTACTGATTCCAAGAGGTGGCGCTCTCTAGTGGGCGAAACAGTGGGTAAACAGATGTGTCTTACTGAGTGAATGCTCTTTTAGCAGCTGGGTACTTTATTCTTTAAAATACTCTGGATTCTTAATAAATTTCAGAGTGAAACACTCAGCTATGTGCCTGGCTTTTCCAGGAGAAAGGAAGAGCCTGTTTACACCTGCCAACATCTGGAGAGACAACAGCAGTTCTCGACCATCATTTGAGTAAGAGGCTTTCCTCCCATCTGACTTGATAGGTATACAAAGGCATTCTATATCTAACCCCAGTGTGAAATCTTAGTTTCTCCTATCAACTAATTTTATCAAGAGCACTCATACTTCCTGACATTTTCAGCTCGCTATAAAAACAAACAAGCAAACAAAACAGAACTCTCAAAAGATAGCAAATATAACAAAGCAAACACAATAGGAACAAGGAGTAACTGCAACTATTTTCAGGTTACTATATTCTCTGAAGGAGAAAAGGTGCAATTCAATACTGTAGTGTGGGAGAAAACTGCAAAATGGTCAAAAAAATTGGAACAAATAAAAAAACTAATAATTAGGATTTTTAATAAGGTCTATTTATAAAAACATTTAACTATTCCCTATTAATTATGCACATCTATGTCTATAAATCATTTCTGAAAAATCATTTCATGTTTACCCATGGTGAAACTCTTTAAAGGCAGTAGAAAATAAAAATAGTTAAAATCATCTGGAAAACAGGAAAATAAGAGACAAAGGCAGATGATACTAAACTGGCAGTAAGGAAGATAATCATAGAAAATAGGAGTGGTAGGTAATGTGAATGCCTGGAGGAATCAGAGATGGAGAAAGAAAAGTAAGGATTGAGGACAAAACAAAACTGATAAATACAGGACAACTAAGGATTGTATTATTCCTAAGTGCTAATCTTTAAACCAGAACAAGTACAGGTAAAAGGAGTGCCAATAAAATCTTCTGTGAACAGTATTTTGAACCATCTGCCAAACAGAAGTCAAATACACTTGGAAAAAATACATCCTATTGCTATAAAGCTGAAGCTGCTCCCTTTGGCATCCTGCCCAGCAGGGGAAAGGGGGGTCTTCTTTGTCCTGACATCAAAGGTTTAGGGTACAAAACAAACAGGGAGCGGATGGTGGAGCTGCCTCATTTGAGTCATACCTGAGCGGCAAGCCATTCCAGTGTCCGACAAGAAGTGCTTCCACTCTTTCTTGCCATATGCCTCTGCCAGCACCTCTGGAGTCATCATCTTGGTGCCATGGCTTGCCCTGATTTTGAGAGAGGAGGCACATTGCTCATTAATGGTTCCTTGAATGCCCCTTCCTCTATCATTGTGACTGTTGATCCCTGTTGCCACTGGAGCTAACAAAAACATATGTATTTTTTCTGTTTTCAACTGGGTGCCTCCCTGTTTAGGATTCTGTAAAGCATTTCTGTGGGCAGCTGTAGCACTTACCCGCTTTAATCCATCAAGTAGCAGGTGATTAGGAGATACTCACTCTGAGGTCAACACTGGATAAGATACCACCCTTTTTTAGAGAAGTTGTCGTTTAACTACACAAATAAGATGAACATACCTGGAGCAATTAGAAAACAACTGTGTGGATTAGTGGGAAGCTGGTTCTGGCAGCACTGGAGAAAGAGCAGTAGGTACCAGAGTCAAAGCATGAGTCCATCGGGCCCATAGGAGGCACAGGAAGCACCTGGCACCCACAGGTGGATCATTGTGAGCACGCAGGACTGTGAAGACAAGATGAGGAGCAACCTGCCCACTCAAGGACACAGCATGGCTAAAACCAAATAGGGAAATCGAAGAGAAATGTGGAAAAACAGAGCAACATGACAAGAAAGTAGGTATTTTCTGTGCTCGAAATACTGCTTTTGTCCAGTTAAGAGAATCCTATGCTACAGAGAAATATGGTAGTTCCCCCTTATCCAGTTTTGCTCTCCCACAGTTTCAGTTACCTGTGGTCAACCTGGGTTGAAAAATACTAAGGGCATAATTCCAGAAACAAACAATTCGTAAGTTTTAAACTGCATAGCATTCTGAGTTCTATTGTTATATTTTATATTTTCTTACTATATCTATTAAACCTTATCATTGGAAAAGACATAGTACACATAGGGATATGTACTATCCATGATTTCAAGGAACCACTGGGGGTTTTGGAAGCTAACCTCCGAGGATAAGGAGGGACTACTGTAGTTGAAATGTTAATGTAGTTCATTATAGGAACTAGTTGAAATGTTAATGTAGTTTATTATGAGAAATTATAATGATTGAGAGTATTATTCTCTTGGTATTATAATGTGGCAACAAAATAATATGAAGGAAAAAAGAAATAAAATAAGAAAAGCAAATGGGGGAAAATCACAAATGGGCTCCTTTTTATAAAGGGGTTAACATTTTAGAAAGCTATATGTAAAGATCAAAGAATCCTGAATGGGAAATATGATCAGAAAAGGAATCTACTACACTGGTTGAAAGAAAGCATCAAGGAGGTATGCTAATAAATTCAGGAGAAACTAAAGGTTAGCCAGGACTTGGATGGAGAGAGACAGACCTTGTAGGAGGGGTACTGGGACAAGGACAGACAGATAGAACAAAGAGAGAAAGAAACAAAATTGTAGAAAGCTTTTCATTCTTTTAACTGTGGTTGAAGATAGCCAAGAACACTGTGAGAATCTGACAGAAGAGTTAAAGGTCATAGACAAAGCTGCATTTACACATACCCTATCTCTCAATGCCTGAGAAATAAACATGGAAACAAACTACAAAATACCAAAGGTGGGGCTACACCTGCTCTAGGTAGATGCACCTTAGGGGAAGGTCGGGGGAAAGTGTGAAGGGAGTTTGCATCATGCAAAAAGAATGATGCAACAAAAGAGAGTACATATCAGGGGTCTGGGAGTTCTCTCCTTTGATTCTGATCCTGTTTGTGTATGTAATAAATGGTATAGCTTCATAGCCATGTTGACTTGCCTGTACTATTAGTACTGGAGAAAAAACAGATGCTCCCTCCCTGGTGCCCTGTGAGAGACAGAGCAGTGACAGCAGCTGCTTCTGGACTGCTTGTCATACCCTTAGCAACCGTTGAGAGGCTGGGCCCACTCAGAGAGGAGAGAAGTAAAGAAAGTCAGCCTGGAGTGTGGGAGGAGGAAGAGGTTGATGAGACTTGGAACAGTCCAGAAAAACTTCCAAAAGGAGCTAGGACACAACATGATCCCTGCATGACAGGGCCAAATTTGGATAAATGAAGAAAGAGAGGGTGGTGGGTATAGACCACCAACCCCTACCCAATACCCATTCTTTCTTTCTTAACAAAAAGAATCCCAATTTTATTTTAGGCAGCCACACAGTCAGCTAAAACAGTAAAATTCCTGGGCTCTTTTGCCAGAAGGAGTGGTCAATGAGACGTAGCAGGTTATAAACTTTCTATTGTATGTCCTACAAATATTTCTAATGATGTAAACTTAAAGGAACTAGACCTTTAAATCTAATGCTCACAAATTCATATTTAAATGGCTTAAACAATTCATACAAAGACATGTAGACAGACAATCTGTCATCTGATTAATTAAAATAATCATATTTAACCCATACTGTAAGGGTCATATGCCACTCAGTAATAAAGTGTCTCAGAGAAGGTAAAGTTTAGACTTCACAACTAAGTTTTATTACCTGAGAACAGTGCCATTATTTGCAAGTTTAAGGAAGTTCCCATCTTCTAGATCCAATGCCAAACCTTTGCAACTGAAATAGGAAAGTTTGATTATTAATCAATTCCTATATTTAGCTAACCTAAGAAATAACAACCTATATTTTCCAAACATCATAATGCTAAAAAGGGATTCTGCCACCCAGGGGAATGATATGTTAATCACACAATTAAGAATATCTAAGAACTGTAAAATTAAATATCTATCACTGAGCAGGTATAAAAGGAAAATTGTTATATAGGTAAACAAGGACAGCATATTTAGTTTGTAAAATCTTTAGGCTTTTCAAAAGATAAATCTAAAACTCAAAAGAGAAAAAAAGAACCTGAACATCATCCCATGACTTTGTTAAAATGTACAAATGTTTTCCACTAAATAAAACACACATACACACACACACACACACATTTATATTCTACAAGTTAAGCACTTAGCCAGTCTTTCCTACACTCTAGAATTCGTCTCAATTTAGGTCAGGTTACAAGAACTTGCCATCTGGACAAGGCATATCATTGAAAACCACTATGGCCAGGCGCGGTGGCTCATGCCTGTAATCCCAGCACTTTGGGAGGCCGAGACGGGCGGATCACGAGGTCAGGAGATCGAGACCATCCTGGCTAACACGGTGAAACCCCATCTCTATTAAAAATACAAAAAATTAGCCGGGCGTAGTGGCGGGCGCCTGTAGTCCCAGCTACTCAGGAGGCTGAGGCAGGAGAATGGCATGAACCCGGGAGGCAGAGCTTGCAGTGAGCCGAGATCGCGCCACTGCACTCCAGCCTGGGCGACAGAGCCAGACTCTGTCTCAAAAATAAAATAAAATAAAATAAAATAAAATAAAATAAAATAAAATAAAAAGAAAACCACTAAAAGAAAGTCAAATACTGTTTTAGCTCCTTTACTGTAAAAGACTTGTGGGATTTGGGGAGAAAGGTGAGTACAGATTCATTATTATGAATAATAAAAGCAAAGTGGTATAATGGCTACCAAATACCAAGGGAATTAAACAAAAAATGACAGGGTACTTTAGAAGGATTATTTACTTTTGTTCAGGGTAAAACTTCCAGAGTCAGTAATTTCATATAGTAACATGTTACTGTTTCTTCCTTTTACAAAAATGTTACATCAAAAAAGACTAACAAAATATCAAAAGAATGCATACTAGATCAACATAATGTAGGTATTTTTCATGTGGTTTAGTATTGTTATTGATTCTCACTCTGTAGCCCAGGCTGGAATGCAGTGGCATGATCAGCGGCTCACAGCAGCCTGGACCTCCTGGGTTCAGGCAATCCTCCCACCTTAGTCTCTCCAGTAGCTGGAAATACAAGCACGTGCCACCTCACCTGGCTAATTATTTTTTATTTTTTGCAGAGTTGGGGTTTCGTCATGTTGCCCAGGCTGGTCTCCAACTCCTAGACTCAAGCAATCTGCCCACCTCAGCCTCCCAAAGTGCTGGGATTACAGAATTGCCACCACGCCTGCCTGGCCTGATTTTAAACTGAACAATTTAAAGTGGCTTAGGATATTTGTTTGTTTTGTTATCTAAATGAGGAAGACAAACGAAGCTTTGGGAAGCTGAGAGTCCTAACCCAGGAAGGGAATTCCCAGTAAGAGTCTTAGGAATGTCGAACTAAATGACAGAAAAGCAATTGTCCTAATTCAGACTTACTCAAAATGTGATGATTCCTCCTTTTCTCTTATAGTTCTTAAAAGATAGTAAACCAAACCTTTTTCTTAAAGATGCAAATTTTAGAAACAGTTCTTACTAACCTCTGAAACTATTATGACAAACTTAAACTATATGAAAATATCCAAATTAGTCACATAAACTCTTAGCTTATTTTCACATTTAATTAGGCAAGTCTAAACTTGTTTAAAGTAGAAAACACTTTAATTCATTAAATACAAAACTTTTAATATAGAAGGCATTTGTCCTTTGACTCAATCTCACATTTCACATTCCATCTTCTTAGAAGAGAAAGCATTACAGTTTTATCAGTAACAATTAGAACCACAGGAAATGTACAGACTTAAAAAAAAAAAAAAAAAAAGAACTTACCAGAAATCCCAATCCTCTGGGGTCACATTGAGCAATTCCTTATCGTACCCTTTCTCCTTAACTAGGAACTGGGCAAAGCTATTATAAATGAGCTGCAAATAAGGGGAAGAAAAACAGATTAAATATAACACCCACTATTCATTCTTAATGTCACAGACCTAAAACCCTAATGGAATTGCTGATGGGGGCAGGTAGGAGGAAGGAAATATCTGTAATTGTGAAGTTCTGCAGTATAATTCTCCTTCACAAGCAATTTATCATCCCCTGCATGCCCCAGGTAGCTGTCCCATTCAAAATTATACCGTCAGCATACAATTATACAACCAAAGACAATTATTAACCCTACTCCTGAATTCTAATGGGTTGGAGATCATAATTTAAGACTTGACAAAGCTTTTTAAACTTATTTAATACATCACTAAGATGATAAAGATGATGACCACTCTATCCATCCATCCTTGGTCCATTCTGGCCAGAAAGGCCCCATGTCAGGGAAATACATATGGGGACCAGGAAGGTGATCTAAACAAGTCATGATGCCTCTATCAGATACAGGTAATCACTCTTGTTTCTCCACACACACATACACAAAAACCATTAAAAAAAAAAAATCTAAAGACAAAGGACAAAGAAAGCCTCTGGAAGCAAGTACAATAATTACAATAATAAATACTCTGTTGATTGCTGACAGATCTTATTTCTCAACAACAAAAAATGCTAGGTTTTTGAGTAAAATATCTGGTTTTTAAGTGCTGGCTAACTTTAAAAGAACTGTACATACCAAACAAAAAGTGCACAAAAGGTAGATGGTCCAACCTTATTCTACCTCGAAGTGTTCTTTGGCCAGTGTTGGGTAAACTTGAGCCTGAGCAGAACAGTTGTCTGAGTCAACCTGCACAGTGTCCAAAAGGACACACTGAACAATCTGACCCTTCTTCTACAGATATTAACCCACAACAGGTTTCGATAACATGTCATACTTTTAGGGAGAAGAGGGAGGCAGAGGAGCAGGGGAAATCTCTCCTGGGTAGTGAGGTTTACACTGATACTTAGATGCAGCAGTTCGCTGGGTGAATGCAGAGGGAATGGGGGGCAACTCAGGTTCAGAAACTGAGGGGCCTGCACACAGCTGGAGTAGGGGTGTCGGGGTCTGAGTGTCAGGATATGAGCATGGAGAAAGCAAAGGCTCCTTGTGAAATGTCAAATCGAGTTGCTCCCTGTCATAAAGCTAATTAAAATCACTACACATGTACTTCCATCCAGTGCAATGTGACCTTATCCAGGTCAACTGTTAATTGAACCACATTATGTTAACACTATATATCAACAGTTCTTAACCCTGGTGGTGATTCAGAACCATAGGTGACACTTCTTAAAACTACCCAGAGCTTCCAAGCATACAGGGTAGAGAGGGCCCTCTCTGAAGCACAGAGAACACTGAAAATCACTGACCTGCATGTTTTACAGATTTTTATTCAATCATTAAAAGGAAAAAAGCAACAAAAAATACACTGAGTCACCCTGTGGTACAAAGTACTATGGACAATAAAAAGTCCACATCACGATCCTGCTTATAAGAAACCAGTGCTGCAGGGCTAACAGATGTAAAATGCTTAGAGCAGAGCCTGGCACACCAGCAAATCCAATTTAAGTATTTGCTATTATTATGTTGTATGCTGCTAAAAACAAAACAAAACAAAACAAAAAAACAGAAAACAAAAACACTGCCCTGACAGGTAGCGCTTGCCCATCTCCACGGTGTAAATATTCCCACCATGGCCTGTTTCAAGTCACCAACAGCAGTTTACCTGCTTGCACAATTCCTGAATAGTTAACAATTGGCTTTCACAAGCCCCTAAGAGCCAGCTATTGTACACCTTAGATTTGCCTCTCATTGAGGCACTTTTGAGTTTCTCCAGTTATTCAAGTGATTAGTCTAAGATATGGGCATGTAATTCTAAAACACTTGAATTCTCCTGGAAGAAAGGAGCCCTTTCCATCAGAGACGCCAACAGGGACAGCAACAGCTGTGTTCCTTACCTTGTGGAGGAGATTTTTCTGTAACAGGAGAGAAGGGGGCCAATGGACAAGGAAAAGAAGCAGAGAAAAGCAGTGTGAAGAAAAGCAGGGGCATCTGTACTCTGAAACCCCTGGTCTAGGCAGAAGGCTTCTTGCAGTTTGTCCTTAGAGTACGCTGAGTCTCTCTAGAAGCCTTCATGGCACAGGGCTCTCCATGACATTCCTCCCCCAGCCTTAGCTATCACCACCTCACAGTCTCTCAGGAGTAATAATAATACACGTTCTACTGCAGTTGCCAATTGGTACCCTGTGGTCCATATGCAGCCTACAAATTATGTTTGGTTCCCACTTAAGGTTGCCAGATAAAATTTAAAAATGCCTAGGTAAATGTGACTTTCAAATAAAAAACAAATAATTTTTTTTTAGTATAAGCATGCAATATTTGGGACCCCACTCTCCCACTCACACATCTACGTTAACTGACTGGTATCAGACTTCTGAGTCTGCAACCTTAGAGAGGAGAAACCATGTGTCATCCTCTCTTCTAGAATGCCTTTCCTGAGGCCTCATGTGAGGGGGACACACTCAGTTCTGTGTTTGCACAACTCTGTGCAGTTGTTAAATGCCTACAAAACTGAAAGGAGACGCACTCACAGCTCTCCATGATGCAGCCCCCACTGACTTCTCCACCATCTTCTCCTGCAACTTGCCACCTTTTGCTTGCACCCAGCAGTTCCCGGTGCTGTTGCTCACCTCGAGGTTCTGACCTTTACTCTAACTCCTCTGGGTGAAGCACTCCTCTCCACCTCCTCACCTGCCAGCTCCCGGCCTTTCCTCTGTGTTTTCGGGCACCATACAGACAGCAAGGTGGGAAGAAGCAGAAATCCACAGCCGGACTACCTCGCTTAGTTGCCCTGGATACACTTTCCTTCTGTGCCCCGTTGCTTGATGCTCTCTTAACAGTGACTAAATCACTGTTAAGTGATTAAACAGTGGTGATAATATCTACCTCACAGGGACGTTGTAAGGATTAAATCCATTCATATAAGCAGCATGCTTATTAGAATCATGGCTGTATCATATTCTGTTATTAAAATACCTATTATCTATTCAGTCTATTTATTGAGTCCAGTATGTGCCCAGCACTAAGCTCGGCACACAGAACACACAAGAAACTGTCACAGATACTGATGGAGTCATCACGCTGGGCTCTAGGGGAAGTCCAACAAGTAAACAGGAAGTGTTAATATCATGCAGCATGTGCTATGAGGAATGAAGGGTTTTGTGGAAAACTGAAGGTGGGCTTAGAATGGAAGGGCAAACTTTAAGGGCCAAAAAGACTTCCTAAGGGGAACGATGTTTAAGATGAGGCCTGATGGGATGAAGAGCTTCTGTGCAGAGCAAAGAGGCCCTCCAGGCACTGTTGGCAGCGTGAAGCAAGACCCAGGTCATACTACCCACCACAAGGGACCAAGACTAACTCTTCAGCATTTTTGCCTACTGTGTAAGGCTGCCTGGAGGCCTGCGTGTTGATCTCTGTATCCTCAGCTCTAGCATGGTGCTCAGCACACTGTGGGACTTAAAATAAAAAAGATTTCCACACCAAACATGATCCAAAACTCAATAGGTTACTGTTTTCAAGCTTTAAACATCACTTATTCTCCAGGTTTGCAGTAAAAAAACCTCTTGTCTTTGAGAATCTTATATTCTGAAATTTTATGATCACCTATGGACAACACTAGCTCTAACATGACAGTGGTTTAACAATATTACCTCCAAATGAAGGTAACTAAAGAGGAGACACACAAAACTGTGAACCAGGAAGGATTCGAAAGACACAGAGGGAAGGAAAACATGTATCAAAGACCTAGGGGAAGCAGTGGCCAAAGAATCAAGCAGTAAAAAAGCCTTCTTAATTCTCAATGTGACTAAGGAAACCAGACCTGTAAGGTAAGAAAGCAGGAAAGTGTAACAGCAGAAAAAGGACATTTAAAAAAAAATTTAGCATCTGGGCATAGAAAACACACGAGAAATTCGGGCAGCCACTCTTTTTTGACCTTTAACGTGTACCTGAACTGGTGGGTGCAGGAACTGGCGGGTGCCCATAATGGGGCACAACCCTGGCTGATGTCTGCACCAGTGATCTAGAGTTCTACCCATAAACTGTGAGGTTTCCAAATAGTTTGGGTGGTAACCATAAAAGCAAACACTTGTCTTTGCCAAGGTACTATTCTAAGCATTATACATCTCTTACTCATTTAATCCTTGCAACAATCTTGTGAGGTAAATCCAATTATTAGCTCCATTTTACAGATGGGGAAACTGAGAAGCAGCACAGGTTAAGTAACTTCCTCGAAGTCACAGAGCTAGTAACAGTGGAGCTGGTGTCCTAAGCTAGGCAGTCTGGCTGAGGAGTCCTCGCTTTCACCACTGTA
Organism: Homo sapiens; assembly: GCF_000001405.40. Taxonomy (NCBI): domain Eukaryota; kingdom Metazoa; phylum Chordata; class Mammalia; order Primates; family Hominidae; genus Homo; species Homo sapiens. Next base: position 116,101,881 of record NC_000006.12, on the reverse strand, counting down.
CTCATAACCAGCTCTTTTTCTGTCTGGATGCTTAGATCTTGGACTAAAAAAATCTGGTAACTTTTCAAAATTAGTTTCCTTGGGAATTGGGAAACCAAAGGAATAGTGGAGGGAGGGCAATTAATTTGAGTGTACAGGTCTGGAAGCATGCATACTCCATGTCCCCCTCCCTCAGGGCACAGTGAGGACCCAAACTTCGCAGACTGTTGGTAGGACTGGAATGTATTCAAAGTGCACGGAGCACGTAGTCGATGCGCAATAAATATGTATTTTCTTCTCTTGATAGAAGGTAAAACTAGGGCTAAGATCTTAATGACTTTTCAACTAGTGTTCCTTTCAATACACTACACTATATACTACGCATCTCTCCCAGATTGCAGTTTAAACACTGATGGGTGGTTGATCGTGCAAACAGAAAAATGCAGCCAAAAAAAATGCAAGTACCAAATCAAGTGGCTGTGTCCACAATCAGCTGGTGTCCAGAAAGACATGCAGAGAAAGTTCCACGACGTGAGATCTTCAAGGACAGCCCTAGTCCCCCTGACCCCGCCCCTCCTCGGCCCTAGAAATCACCGATTCCCCAGCCCGGTCTTGCGCAGTTTGCCCCTCCTTCGTTCTTCCCTATCCCTCTCAACATTAGCTAATGGCTGAGGTAAATGTGCCGGTCCCCACGGCACCGGCGCGGAGCGGAGGCTGCACACTTCCGCCCCTTCTCGCCGCTGGAGGCCGCGCTCTGCGGCAAGACTCGGCCGCCGCAGGCCCCGGGCAGCGTCCGCCGTTGCCCAAACCTGGAGGAAACTCAAGCCCCAGCCGCCATGGAGGTTGCGCGCAGTGCGCCCCGGAGCCCGCGCCACTCACCGGGGCGCTCTCGGGCAGGTTGTAGCGACACAGAGTGTGGTCCAGGTCGAATCCGACCACGTCGCAGGCGGCCAGGGAGAAGTGCTGAGCCATGGCTGCGCGGGGAGCACCAGGGAGCGCCTCGGCCGCGAAGGGTGCAAGGAGCTGGCTGGCGGGACGCTGCGGGACAGGACCGGGCCGGACGCGGCGGGGCGGGGCTGCGGCTGCCAGGGCACACGGCGCGGCAGCCTCTCCCGCCTCCCGCGCCCTCGAGCACCGCCCCTCGATACGCTTAGCCCCCGCCCCTCGCGCGGCGGGCGTCCTGCGCCGCCCGGAGTCAGGTAGTCAGCTCGCGTCCTCCTGGTACCCCAATGCCGGCGACTCCTGATCTGTTCCGCAAGCCTAGGAGCCCAGAAGGCAGTAGGGGTCCAGGAGCGGTGCCGCTGCTGCACAGCTGAGACCTGTAGGCACGTAGCCTTTCCCGAGGGCTACCACAAAATTAACCGGGACACTCCATCGCCTCAGGGCGCCTCGGAAACCAGGAGATCATGAGGTTAGACCTGACCTTTTACCCCTGTGTGAGGAATAGTAAGATCATAGAAAAAATTCATCCGCTAATATCCCTCTGACCCAGTTAGCCTACAATTTGGAAGGTCTTTTCACCCACGTGATCTTTGATAGTGGTTTAAACCAAAAACTTTATATTCCTTGGTTTCCTAAGTGGTTAAGTGGAAGACAGACCTTTCACTATTTCATACCCTGGAGTGCGTTAGAAAATAAATGTATCAGACATCGTGAAGAACCATTTTGCAAGATGATACTTGTTATGGAAACCAATATTGGTTATTACTTGATAATCCTATTTTGTTATTGTAATGAATTTTTTATGAAAGGGCATCAGAAACTTCATAGAAATATATAGAGCATACTACAAAAAACTTTTGCAAACCGGGTTTAAGGTTTATAGAGCACAAAATGTTTTGAGTGACATTTGCTTAATTCTCTCAAGAACTGTATAACTACTACCATTTTAGATGCAGAGAAAGTTAATCCATTACATACAATGTATGCCTTAGGGCATTTAATTCTCTTCCTGATTTCCGGATGTGAAGGACTAGCACTTTGAGATCTTTATTACATAGTACCTCATTTTAAAAAGAAAATACAAATCTATTATGTTTACACTGCTTCAGTTCTCAATTTAAAGGAACAATGTGTCTAATGGGACAAATCAATAGTCGTGACATAATGAAAATATAATTGATTGAGAACTGCATTTAACCCTTTCAAATACTAATCCTTCTGAGGCTAATAGACCAATCAGAGGATTAATTTAGTGCAATAGATAGTACAATTGAGTAGGAGGACACTTATACCTAGTAGACCCATTTGAATAAAATTGATAACTTGTTCCATTATAACACTTAAAAGCCCCAAACAAATCTCTCTGGAATAGGAAAAGTAAAGAATCTTCAAGAAGATTAAGCTGTTCACTGATGAGTCCAACAATCATGTTTTCAATGTCTGTGAACCAAAAGAGAAAAGGCTGGATTGTTGGAGAGGCTGGAAAAAGCTTGTTGGCCCTGGAGCATTGACCTTGGCATTCTCCTCTGCACCTTGCAATAGAATGCTACCAAAGTCAAACTTCCAGGTGCATGCCACATTGAAGGGCACATGTTTCCTTGGGGAATATCTTGTTTCATGTGGGAGTAGGTGCTTTAGGTACTTTAGGGACTTCCCTTAGTAATACAAATGTACTAGTACATTCATTGTAAGAGGGAAGAGTATAAAAGGATTGTTTTTTGTTGACTTAGCAAAAACTTCTCCTTACAAAACCTCTTGAGTGTGCTGAATTGTGAACAGGAAATTGACTTGGGGTAAGGGGAGAGAGGGAACCAGGGCACTCTTAAAGAGAAAAAGACCCCTGGGTCGATAACCAAGTGGTCCTGGGACTGGATCTGGCTATTACATGCACATCAACAATCTTATGTACTTGCTGATTAACAAATTATATATATTCTGCATGTTTGCACAAACAGTTCTTGTGCTAGAGAGTCCACATCATTTAAACTTTGTGGGAGAATTTTGCAAATGATCCAATCCTAGAGGCTTGTACTCTTTCTTGAGCCCCACTCACCTTTCCTTTGTACCTCAAACCTCAGTCTGACTCTTCCAGAAATATAGGGGATGGTTCCCTTCTCTTCTCCCATTCCCTACATAACCCTGAGTTTAAATACAAACACTCAGTTTAATTGTTTCATAAGGCTTATTTTTGGATAAAGATATTTCATTTTCCCTGCACATTAAACTTTTATCACACTTACTGATAAAATGCCACAGCTCTTGTATTATCAACTACAAGTTCAGTCTTCTACTTAGATACCAATTAATTTCTGTTTCTTTGAGTATCATGGACTGAATTTTGTCCCCCACTCATTCATGTGTTGAAGACCTAACCCACAATGTGTTTATATTTGACATAGGGCCTTTAAGGAAGTAATTAATGTTAAATAAGGCCATAAGGGTGGAGCCCTAATCCAACAGGATTAGCATTCTTGTAAGAAGAGGAAGGGGCACCAGAGTTTTCAAGCACACAAGAAAGGCCATGTGAGGAGCCACAAAACCACGGCTGTCTGCCTGGCGTCGTGGCACACACCTGTAATCCCAGCACTTTGGGAGGCCAAAGTAGGCAGATCGCTTGAGGTAAGGAGTTCAAGACCAGCTTGGGCAACATAGCGAGACCCATCTCTAGAAAAAATACAAAAATTAGCAGGGTATGGTGGCAGGCACCTATAGTCCTAGCTGTTGTAGGGGCTGGGGTGGGAGGATCGCTTGAACCTGGGAGGCAGAGGTTGCAGTGGGCTGGAATCAGGCCATCGCACTCCAGCCTGGGTGACAGAGAGAGACCCTGTCTTTTAAAAAAAAAAAAAAAAAAAAAAAAAAAGCTGTCTGTAAGCCAAGGAGAGTGGCTTCACCAGAAACCAACCCTGACAGCGCCTTGATCTTGGACTTTGAGCCTCCAGAACTGTGAGAAAATAATTTTTTGTTGTCTAAACCCCATTGTGTGGTATTCTGTTAAGGCACGCTGAGCCAACTAAGGCAGTTAATAAGGATAATTGACTCAAATCAGTGTTGTGTTAAATGTAGGAAATATTTGCCATTTGAAAGGTCTGTAAAGGACATGAACTTGGGTTTATGTTATTTGTTGACTTCTTGAAGTTGGGTACTTTTGCTTATGTGTAACATTAATACCATGCTGTGAAGTTTTAGAGTTTTTTTGTTTTTAGTATTTCATGTACTGTTTTTTCTTATACTTATGAGTTATGTAATAATTTAGAAATATTCAGAAACAGGAAGTTATATTACAGCCGATTTTCTAGAATTAAATTTCATTATTACAATTGATCTGCTTTTAATTGAGGTGGTACTATAATTTAGCAATTTTAACCTTAGGTGTGACTTGTGATTAGCTAGCTTAAGCTTTAGACTCTATAATATCTCAATAACTGATCTTTTGTGAATTTATAATACTTTATTTTAACATCTATATTGTAAATATGATTTGCCATACATTTTTGGGAAGGAGGGAAATGGCCTGTTTCTTTTTTCATTAGTTTAAAATATGCTTTTCTAAATATTCCTAATTAAACATTGTATGTTCAACTTTTTGTATAACCTAAGCCAATCTACATATCTTCTGTGGCACATATAATTCTTTAAGGGGTAAGAAAAAAGTTCATTTACTAAATTGGAAAAAAATAGGAAAAATATGAATTTCTAAAAATAAAACTCTATGGCACTTAAATATTAGACATTTAGCTACATAGAACCAAATACTTATTTGTAATATTATGCTGAGGCCTTTAGATGGCAGTAGTCCTGCATGAGGAATATTTTTTATTTTTTTTTAGTAATCTTAAAATCTTTACATTTCTTAATAAAAAATACTTCATTTTCTACTCTCTTGATTTTCTACTCTGTTCTTACCACAAGAAGAAGAAGCCTACTTAGAAATTTCACTGTGGTTTTTTGGTGTGTGAATTTATTTTCGATGATGGAGAGGGAGGACGTAATGGGACAAAGTCCTTTTGTGTCCGTAGTTGGTTCCTTCCAGGGGGTTCTTGGTCTCACTGACTTTAAGAATGAAGCCGTGGACCTTTGTGGTGAGTGTTACAGCTCTTAAAGGTGGCATGGACCCAAAGAGTGAGCAGAAGCAAGATTTATTGTGAAGAGCGAAAGAACAAAGCTTCCACAGCATGGAAGAGGACCTGAGTGGGTTGCCGCTGCTGGCTGGAGTGGACAGCTTTTATTCCCTTATTTGTCCCTGCACACGTCCTGCTGATTGGTCCATTTTACAGAGCGCTGATTGGTCCATTTTATAGAGTGCTGATTGGTCCATTTTACAGAGTGCTGATTGGTGCATTTACAATCCTTTAGCTAGACACAGAGTGCTCATTGGTGCATTTTTGCAGAGTGCTGATTGGCACATTTACAATCCTTTAGGTAGACACAGAGTGCTGATTGGTGCGTTTTTACAGAGTGCTGATTGGCGTGTTTACAGTCTTTTAGCTAGACACAGAGTGCTGATTGGTGTGTTTTTACAGAGTGCTGATTAGTGCATTTACAATCCTTTAGTTAGACACAGAGTATTGATTGGTACATTTACAATCCTTTAGCTAGACACAAAAAATCCCCACTCGACCCACAAAGTACAGCTGGCTTCACCTCTCAATCTCTCCTCTAAACAGGACACCCCAACTGCTGTTGGGAATTGGGCGATGACCATTCTAGCTACTTCCTGTGGGATAGGGGCAAAGAAGGGGCCCTACAGTTGTACTGTCCTCTAGAGGGGAACTCTTTAGGCCAGTCAAAGGGCCAGTGGGTTTGTCCACGGGTCCTCGGTAGAAGTTGTTAGTTGAGCTCATTTGTGGTTCCATTTGTAAGACCATCTGTAGCTTGATGGCCGTGATCCTAGAGGAACCAAATTTGACAAGGAGGTTAAAAATAAAGGGCCTGAAGGCGAGTAATGGCAAGATGGCTGTCATGGGACCTAGAAAGGGGAGAAGTCATGTCACCCAATTCCAGAGGTTGGTATAAGAGTTTGAAAGGCATTGTCTGATATCAGAAGCCTTTTCCTATAAATGCTGGGCGGCATCTCATACTGTCCCTGACTGGTTAGTGTAAAAGCAACACTCTTCCCCTAAGAAGCTGCAAAGTCCTCCTTTCTCAGCAGTGAAGAGGTCTAGGCCTTGGCAGTTTTGGAGAGTCACTGCTGCCAAAGAGTCTATTTGGGATTGTAGTTACTATCCTTACTGGATAGATTTTGTTATTTCTTGCAAATTGTTTGAGAAATCCTTTGAGAGTGTGTGGTAGTAGGATCATGAAGTAGATAAACCTGCTATTCTGCTTCCTGTAGCAGTGGCCATTTCTAACCCTATAAGTAGGGGTATTAGTTGCATGACCCTGCACTGATGGACTTGAGCTTTGAGGGGCACTGATAGGGTATGATGTCCATAAGATTAGACGTTAGGATAATACATGTTACACTGTTAACTTTTAGCAAACTTTACTTTTGTTGAAAACCTTGTAAGTTTGGGATTTTAATTTTTCTTTGCTATTAATAAAACCTCTTTCAGTCCATATTAACTTAGAATTGATATAGATGGCTCCTTCCTGATTCTGTAAATACTTTAAGGTTTGGCTGAGTGCAAGCAACTCCCATGTTTGAGCAGACCAATTATTAGGCAATTTTCCTAACTCTGCTTCTATAAAGAGTTCCCTTATCACTTACTGAATACCCATGGTGTCGTTTTCCCTTAATCACCTAGGAGGAACCATCTATTGTCCTGTCTTGAAGGGAGTTCTTCCTAGGTCTGGTTGGACCTTTGGATGGTAATTAATTAAGATTTAGATCCCCTGTTAGGAAACCTGCTGGATTAAGGATTTTTGATAGAAAGGCTACGGGTTGTCAGTGGCCTCAGTATTTTCGGCCTATGCCCTTGTTTACACTGACAACAAGGTAGTATTGGAGTGTTATAGGGTTATAGAGAAGACCTTCAATTATCAATTATAGGTTTTAAATTTACCCTGGCTTTTAAAGGAATATGGTACGCTGTTTTTTCTTTACTACTTCCATCTCTCTTTCTTTCTCTTTGACTTCTTTGTCTCTTTCTCTCTTTCTTACTCCCTGTCTATCTCTTCCTCTCTTTGACTTTCTGTCTCTCTTTCTCTCTGATTCCCTCTTTGTCTCTGTCTCTTCCCCTCTCTTCTTCTCTTTCTCTGACTTTCTGTCTCTTTCTCTCTTTCCTTTCTGCTGGTCTTTCCCTGTCTCTGCCAGATGCTTATGCTGCTGTTCTCCCCTCTCCTTCCCCTTTTGACGGCTTTGGTAGTGTAAGACTGCCACCTCTTTGGGTTTTTGCACTGCGTGCAATAACTCCATGGTTTCCTTGTGATATTTAATGGAAGTTCCCCTAAAGGTTAGGAACTCCCTTTTTTTCCATATTGCAGCGTGAGCATGTAGGATTAGATAAGCATACTTACTATCTGTAGCAAAGTCTACCAATTACAACTGAGAAGGTGGGAGAAATACCTGGTTACAGGCCGTCCCAGGATTCCTTGGATGGTAATGGACCTTGAGGCAGCTGTCCGGGACAGGACACTGAGAAAGCCACGCCAGTGTCCAGGAGGAAGTCAATTTTCTGGCCCTTAATGGTTAAATGTACCCGGGGCTCAGTGAGGGTTATGACATGAGCTGGCGCTTGCCCCGGGCACCCTCAGTCCTGTTATTGGATCATCTTGTTGGGGGATTCTGGTCCAGAGAACCTTTGTCCCCTGGGGCAGTGCACCTTCCAGTGATTGCCTCGGCATAGTGGACATGAGCGAGGGGGCAGCTTGTTTCTTGTTGGACAGTATTTTTAAGGTATCCTTGAAAACCACACTTGTAACAAGCCCTACTGGGTGACTGGCCTGCTTCATTTTCTGTCCTTTCTGAAACACCAAGGTTTGTTTGTCTGAGGGCCATGACTAAGGCTGCGGCCTTTCTCTTATCTTGCTTTTCCTTTTCAGCCTGTTCCTTTTGGTCCCTATTATAGAACACTGAGGTTGCCAGGTTTAATAATGCCTCCAGATTTTGTTCAGGGCCCAGGGCTCACTTTAGCTTTCTCCTGATATCTGTGGCTGATTGGGTAATAAACTTATTTTTTAGGATCAATTGAACCTCAAGTGAGTCAGGTGACAGGGGAGTGTATTTTCTTAAGGCCTCCCATAGCCACTTGAGGAAGGCAGGATTTTCTTCCTTTCCCTGAGTTATGGTGGACATCATTGCATAATTCATTTTTCCTAATTCTCCTTAGTCCTTCTAGAACACAGGTCAACAAATGTTTGCAACTCCAGTCCCCATGATCTGAGTCAAGGTCCCAGTGGGGATCCATACTGGGGATGGCTTGCTGACCAGTAGGGAATTTGTCCCTTTCTTCAGCTGTCATTCTGTCATTTACTTGACTAAGATACCAGGTATCTCCAAACTCTCGGACTGCAGCTAAAGCATTCTTTTCATTAAAGGCCAGGGTTTGATCTAACAATAGCATGACATCTTTCCAAGTGAGATCAAAGGTTTGCCCTAGACCCTGTAGGACATCTATGTACCTATCAGGATCATCTGAAAACTTCCCCAGGTCTACCTTGATCTGCTTTAAATCAGAGAGGGAGAAGGGGACATGTACCTGGGTTGGGCCAAATTCCCCTCCCCCTACAGCTTGAAGGGGACATAACTGATAGCCCGGGGGTTTTTTTGGTCTCTTGGAGATTTCTTTGCTTATTTCCTTCTGGGCAGGGGAGATTGGAGGAGGCTTATCATTAATAGGAAGGGGAGCTATAGGGAGGCTAGGCTATGGGGGTAAGCTGAGAGGTCCTCCTGTGGGATGTAAATTGCAAGCTTTGCATAGTTGTGGATTCACCTTCAATGAAAAGAAAGCTTGGACATAAGGTATTTCACTCCGTTTGCCTTCCCTCTTACAGCAAAGGTCAAGCTGCAGGATAGTATTGTTATTTATACCTCCCTCAGGTGGCCATTTTTCCCTATCAGAGAGAGAATATTGGGACCAGGCAATAGTGCAGAAAAAAATGAGCTGCCTCTTTTTCAGGGTTTGTGGGTCAAATTGGTCCCAATGGCTTAGGATGCATTTCAAGGATGAGCCTGTTGATGACTGAGTGTTTCCCATGTGAAAGAAAAATCTGCCCATGATTTTGGTTTGTTTGTTTTCCTGCTGCTACCCAAGAACTCGCAACGGTCCCCAGACCCTGCTGATCGGAATAGTTGCACTCACCGACGCAGCAGCAGAAACCCTTCTTGCTCAAGAACCCACAACGGTCCCTGGACCCTGTTGATCAGAATAGTTGTGCTCACTGACGCAGCAGCAGAAACACTAGTTTTCCTCCTACACCACAGGGAGGACCGAGGAAGGTCGGATTTAGTGGCCCTTACTGATGCTTTCTTGAAAACCTGCACCTTTGCCTGTCCTCCTAGACCACAAAGAGGACCGAGAAAAATTGGATTTAGTGGCTCTTACCGATGCATTCTCAAAAACCTGTTAGAGTCCTAAGCATTCTCCTGTTAGTATTGGGACCTTACCACTGTCCTATAAAGATGTTATGCCCCAAAAATGAAGTGGAGGGCCATACCCTGAGGGAGGGAAGGGATCTCCAGGGTTGGAAGAGTGACGCCTTTTGTCCTACTTCTCATCATATGGATAGGAAGGATATCATTTCTGAGACTCCCCATATCCTAGCTTCAGGAATAGCTTTTGTTAGGCCTTCTAGTCTGAGGGGAGATCCTAAAATTCCAGATAGTCCCCACCCGACAGGGCTTTGGGCAAAAATTATGCCTCTGATTGGTAAGCCCAGGTGCCTAAAGAAGGTAACAGAGTCCTGAAGTTTATACTAGAAATCATTCTTATAGGAGAAACTAGAAAAGCACCAGAGACAGGGAGTGGTTTTTAGAAGTGGGACTAGCCTCGGAGAATGGAGGTAAGAGGAAGCTTGTCTGACTGGCATTAGGACCCAAGAGGCGAGGGTCAGGCTAGATAGGATAGATGGGCAAGTTTCGCTTGGGTGACATGACTTTGAAAGTTCCACACATGGCTACAGGGTCAACCAACTTTTTGTCTGGACCCCAGAGCTGAATGGCTTTCCTCTCCGTCGACCCTCGGCTCAGCCCAGAAGTACAGGAAAAGTGGAAGCTGGTTCCAGGCAAACCAATGCTCCCAACTCCAAAGAGCCGGGGGTTGTCAGAGAGCCCTTTCCCAGAAACCCTGACACCCCTGTCTTCAGTCTGACGGCCACACTAGTCTCTTTTAACTGGCCAACAGTTGCCTGGTGTTTAGCCCCCGAATTCTAAGGAAAAATAGGACAGAATAGCAAGCGAAAGGGGTCCGATGGTACTCACTGCTTGGTGATAGGCAATAGTCCCTTCATGGTTGCCAAAATGTGTCTGGAGTTGGTTCCTTCCGGTGGGTTCTTGGTCTCACTGACTTCAAGAATGAAGCCTCGGACCTTCGCGGTGAGTGTTAGAGCTCTTAAAGGTGGCGCAGACCCAAAGAGCGAGCAGAAGCAAGATTTATTGTGAAGAGCGAAAGAACAAAGCTTCCACAGCATGGAAGGGGACCCAAGCAGGCTGCCGCTGCTGGCTGGGGTGGCCAGCTTTTATTCCCTTATTTGTCCCCACCCATGTCCTGCTGATTGGTCCATTTTACAGAGTGCTGATAGTGCATTTACAATCCTTTAGCTAGACACAGAGCTCTGATTGCTGTGTTTTTACAGAGTGCTGATTGGTGCATTTACAATCCTTTAGCTAGACACAGAGTGCTGATTGGTACATTTACAATCCTTTAGCTAGACACAAAAAATCTCCAAGTCCCCACATGACCCAGGAAGTCCAACTGGCTTCACCTCTCACTTTTGTAGGAAACTTCTTACAAAGATTGTGTCTAGATTTTAAAAAATGTTTAGAATATGAAATGAATTCCTCTTGGATAGATATTAAGTGGCAGGATTACAATTTTAAAAAAATCTCAAATGGTAGAGCAATGAAATGAAATTTAATTAAATGTTAAGTTTTGCTTTAAGGTTCAAATAATCAACTTTAATGATATATGATAGGGAATGTTGATTTGCCAGCAGCTGAGATGGAAATACAATATGGATAAACTCAAGGTAAGCTCAGCTAGTTCCAGGTTAAACTTAATGTCTCTTTGACTGTCACTTTATAATACCTCTCTTTGACTTTGGCTGTTCTTTTGGGGGTGTGGGGCTTCTAAATTGCAGAAGGGCTAACATACTATTGAGAGGTCTGGGGAGAGAATTTTGATCCTTGGTTAATGGCATCCATATGCATGGCTTTTCCTGGACTAGACCATCCCTGGTGATTTTAGGTTGCCTCTAGACACATTGTCTGTAACCACCACTGCTGTATAAACTTTAAAACACTTCAGTTACAGTGTTGTCTAAAACATGTTTAGTTTTGACTCAAACCATGCGGCCATTTCAGGCCTGCCTCTCCACACTCAGCCAACCTCTGTATTTATCTTGCAATCACAGGAAACCTTTGGTTTTGGAACCACAGAAAAAGAAGATGTATGTACTATGATGGGGGAAGGTGAGGTCACCACCTCAGACCCTGTCTCTAGATGTGACCCACTGTTCCTATTCTAATCACTGTCCCGTATCATCACATTACACCCTGCAAAGCTGTTTTCTCTCAGAATTCTAAATGCAAATCAGGACCTAGTTTTCTCTGCTTTGGGACCCCCAAACTCATGTTGGGGGTGCTGTTGTTTCCTGTGCAAGGGATTTAACCTTGCAGTGGAACAGAGTGTAGGACCCATGACACGACTCATTATCATGCTCTTCATCCTGTTTATCTGAGACTAACATTCACAGATAAAATACAAAATGCCCAATTAAATTTGAATGCCCCAAATTTTGTGGAACTTCTTAATGCTAAAAAATTATTTGTTTATCTGAAATTCAAATTTATCTGAAATTCAAATTTAAATTGATATTCTATATTTTTATTTGCTAAATCTGGCATTGTGAGACAGGGACTCAATATCCTTTTGCAACAAACTTTTTGGAAACATTTTTGTAATTAGTATTTTTTTTTTCCTTCAGAAGTAAAGTCAAATGTGCCTTGGGGTTTGTTATAGGCGGAAATGTGTCCGTCCAAAAGTCATATTTTAAAGCTCTAACCCTCAGTATTTCAGAATGTGATGATACTTGGTGATAGGGCCTTTGAAGAGGTGATTAAGTTAACATGAGGCTTTAAGGTGGGCCCAGATCCAATCTGTCTGTTGTCCTTATAAGAAGAGAAAATTAGACACATAAAGATACAGCAGAGATGCACAAACAAAGAGTGTGTGAGGACACAGTGAGAAAGAAAAGTCATGTGAAGCCACAGTGAGAAGGCAGCCGTCTACAAGACAAAACAGGCCTCAGAAGAAACCAAGCCTGCTGACACCTTGATCTTGGACTTCCAGCCTCCAGAACTGTAAGAAATACATGTCCGTTATTCAAGCCACCCAATCTGTGGCATATTGTTATGGCAGCCCTAGCAAACTAATACAGCATTCAAGACTATTTATTTACTATTAGAGTCTAGAGTTCATTTTGGGAAACAAAACTAAGAATTGTCTCTCTTTTCTGCTCTAGAAGATCTTCCTTTTAGGGCTGGGCTGAGAAAACTATTGCTGCTTTCTGAGTGGGGGGAAATTTGAAGCAAAGATATCTCAGTCAATATCTTAATGTTATGCAGCATGAGCAAAATCTATAAACAAAGATATAATGGAAGCATTTAAGCCAAGCCTTTTTATCTAGGGATTGGTGTCTCTGAGGGATTATGGGAAATTTGTGAGATAGTTTTGGAGTGTGGTCAGCATTTTGATGGTAATAGCAGTATAAATAATATGTAAGAAGACTGAAATGGTTCTTACACTCATGTCTGTCCTTTCCTCTTTTGCCTCATGTATTGATTCCAATTTTTCAAATATCTAGGTGAGTTAAATTTTTGATTATTTAAGGGTATGCCAAATATGAACATATTTCAGGAATCCCTTATAAACTGTGATCCAGTCAATGTGGGGCTCCCCATGGCTCAGTCTTAAGTGCATAACTTCTTTGTCTTCAGACCTCTTGGGCACCTTTCAGTCAGTTAACTCAGAAAGTGTTTACTTTCATGACTTAACTGACTGAAAGCATCCAAGGAGAGCTAATCATATTAAAAAACCAATCAATCATTCATTCATAAATTATTATTGAATTTGTCAGACATTGTCCCTGGCTTTGCTTGCTCTGAGCACCAGAATCACATCTGCAATATTAGCTAGACTTGAGAAATTGAACTACGACCATACATAAGAAGAAACCTTGAACCAGGGATGTTAGCAAGGTGCTAAATATTTTAGCTGAAAATGACATAGTACATATCACATACTCTGTAGTGTACAATTATATGTGTGTACATATGCAACAAAATATAAATGTTATTTGGTGAGATTATGACATTTGTTTTCAACTTCCTTGCCCTTAAGAAATCAGAGGAAATGTTTTTGGGGTAAGAGAATGCTCTTAGGTCAGGCTTTCTCTTCTTCCAGGGTTAGCTTGTTTTATAGTTCTTGTCCTATACCATTGTGCACTGAGGTATTGAGTTCTCATGTCTGTTTTTTTTATTACTATTTGCAGAAAATTTATAATTTCTCAAAAGTTACTTTACTGCATCTTTCTCATGGATGGGTTGCCCTAAAAGCAGAGCCTGTGACAAGGACTTGGCTGCAGGTGGTATGTTAGGAGATGATCCCAGGAATAAACAGTAAATTAATGGAGAGAGAGTAAGCCAGTAACAATACCAAAAAGCAACATCAAGATCACTGTTGTAGGCAACGGTGGTTCAATTCTGCTGGCATGTCCCATGAAACACAGAGGATACTTCCTGGAATTGTCCACTGGAAGGAGGAGAGGCTGAGTGTTTACCCGCTGGCTCCTGTTGTCATGATTGAGGGTTATCCACTCACCAACTTTCAGGCCGTGCTTGTACTTGGGCTCCTATGGCCTCAGAGAAGGCCCTTGGGCACAAAGGAGAAAGACCTTGCAGAGCTCTGTTGAGGTGGGTCATTGCTAGTGTGCTGTAAGTCTGTACTTACATGAAAATGAGCATGTATGAGCTGTGGTTGAAATCAAAAGTGGGCTAAGGGGATGTGAAACAGAGTACCAGTGCCATCTGCTACAGTGGCCATTCTTGTAAAAGCTCATTCACTTCAGTATAGTCCACAAAATTTATTCCAATCTATAAGAATTAGGCTGGGAATGGTGTCTCCATCTGTTGGCCAGTCTGTCTCTAACCCCCTGTTCCTTCTGTATCTTCTCTTTCTGTTCCATCTGTGGGCTACTCTGTATTCTCTGCCCCAAGGCAAAGTAATACAACTCAGTGGAAATTACCATAAATAGTTTAGTGCTTTCCAAACGTGTTCGTGTCATGACTCACATAGAAAATGGTGAAGTTTATTTAGCATGCTGGAACACACAGAAAAAGCTGGTCCAGTTAGGTGGGGCAGCTTAGGCTTTGGGGTTACTCTAGGGTGCAGAGGGCAGGGCTGATCAATATTGTAGCATAAATATAACCTGGTATGTGTTGGGTACATTGGTTGAAATATTTTATTGAATAAACTTCTATTTTTTTCTTTTTAAATGCTAGTAAACTCTTGGCTTCTTACTTCTCAGTTCAGTTTAGCAAATGTTTATTGAGAATATACTGCGTGCCAGGCACTATGGTAGCTACCATAAAAATATAGACAAAGTAAGTACCTTGCCTAGAGGGCCCTGCGGTTTAGAGAAAGAGATGGCACATAACCTGATAACTACAATAAAACAATGTGTATAAAATAAAGAGGAGACGTTATTTTGGCAATGCTTCTTTCATTCATGCTGCGCGCTCTGCTCAAAATATTTTTTCTCCCTTGATTTCCTGACTTCCATTCCCATGCAGGATATCTCCCACATTACCTTTAGAAACGACATCAAGTATTTTGTCTAGCTGCAGGAACCTGAAGTTATCTTTACATCTTTTTGTGGTATTATAACCTGTTTTCATGTCAGTCTTCTCCTCCAGCTCTAAGTTATTTCAGATGGGGACTTCGTCTTGTTCACTTTTGTGTCTCAGTGCCTAGCACACAACCTGGCACATAATATCCATTGAATGAATGAATGAATTCCCATTTATTCATTTTCATCTTTTCAGTTGTGAAGTTATCAATGGCTGCAAAGAAGCTTTTATTCAGAGGCCATAGGCACCCATATTTCACTGAAACTCTGAATCCCATGTCCTTAGTAATCAATTAATCACAGATTTAGAATAAAGATTTCAGTTGCTTGGAGCCAATTTCAGGAAATGTTCTGACAACCATTAATTTTTCGTTCTGTCAAATACTAGTATCAGTGCATGAGCTACTACTTTTAATTTGACCTTTGGTAGACCATTTCCCACACCAAGAACTGATGGGCAGACTATATAAATAATTACAGCATAAAGACAGCCTAAGCTAACATTTTAGGAAACTGAGAATGAGCTTACCCAGCAGCACTTACTTTTTAAATAGTACATCACATAGAAAAATACTTATTTTAGGAACTTAGGTTTATGGATTTTATCATGAGATTCATAGTGTTCCCTTAGTTCCTATTAATAGATTTTTATCTATATTGAGATAATACTACCTACTAAATTCTCTTCATTGTGACTTTTGACTGTTGGAAAATAGTACTTTTTGTCCCCTGCGACTTGTTTTTAAAGCTGTATTTTTAAAATGTCATTTGGAAATACAAACAATTAGCCGGGCATGGTGGTGGGTACCTGTAGTCCAAGCTACTCGGGAGGCTGAGGCAGGAGAATGGCGTGAACTCGGGAGGCGGAGCTTACAGTGAGCAGAGATCATGCCACTGCACTCCAGCCTGGGCGACAGTGTGAGACTCTGTCTCAAAAAAAAAAAAAAGTCATTTGGACATTCAAACGGTAATGAGAATGGTTGAATAAATGCTGCTTACAGCTTACAATGGAAGTGTCAATGTATGTGTAATTTATTGTTACTACTATTCTCTTCTGGAAATTAGCCAGGTAATTGTTATATAAACAAAAACATGTCCATTTTCTTTCTTCCTTTTCATCTCAAAATCTGAGAGTACTCCAAGGAGAATACAAAAGTGCTACAGAATCTCCGTGTTCATATGTAACCTTCTCTGTACCATCTCTCCCTCTCTCTCTGTGGCATGCACACACACACACACACACCCACACACACACGGCCTGTGCATGTGGTGCATGTGGTGATGGGGGGATTTGTCAGTGGGTAGAGAAATAGAAAACATTCTTGAGCTCCTTCTAATATGCCAGACATTGTATTAAGAACAGTAGATAATTACCTCACTCATCGTAACAGCATGGAAATAGGTAAATGCACACTCATTTTACAAATATAATTCAAATTCCAATGTTTGTGACAAGAAGTTCAACACTTTTGCTTTCTTACTTGAACCTTTTCTTTAGACTAAGTCATTTATGCATAATACATATGTGTTATGAAACAACAAAAAAGAGAAGCAAATAGATTTAAAATGAAAATCCCCTTTCACTACTTCACACATTTATCATCATTATTATTCCCAGAAGTAACTGCTGATAGCAGTTGAGTGAATGTCCTTAAAGATCTATTCCAACACACAAAATACAGATATGTATGCGGTATGTACCAACCTATCCTAGTCATCCCTCAACTCCCCACACTTCCCATTTCTTTAAAATTTTAGCTCCTACTTCATTGTATTTTTTCCATCCTACTTATTTCTTAATTTTTAATGATTCTAATACTCTAGGCTCTCAATTCCTTTAACTTCTGTGATGTTCTTGTCACCCACACAACCTCAGCCACGCTTTCACACATCCTTCATAATTTCAAAGCAGGCATACCACTCTCTTAACTGCCCCCTTCTATCTTTCCCACTCATGTTCTCAAGTATCCTACCCCAACAATCCTTAGAGGCCACTGGTATCTAAAATCTAATGAACCCCACTTCCTTTTCACTGTGTCCTTCACTGCCATTATCTTATCACTTCTTTTTGCAAAGCTATGAATATTCATAGAGAATCATTATAATCACTTCATTGATATATCCTAATTTGATATTCCTCTCTCACCTCTTTGTATTCCTAGAAAAAACCACAATCAAAATTAGGCATAATTATTCCTTTCCCTGTATCCATGCCCCTTACAATACAACTTTGCAACACTTCTCATCAAGGCAAAGAATCTGTTTCTCTCCATCTTAAATATGATCTAGCTTTGTGACCTGTTTTGGCCAATAACATCAAGTGGAAAGTGACATCTTGCCTGTTCTGAGTCTGAGTCACAAGAGGCCATGAGGAATTCCACAGTATTTTGGGAATTCTGCTACAGCTATTTGAATAAGGCTGAACTAGACTGCTAGGAGATGATTATTACAGTCACCCCAGTCATCACAGCCTGTAATCACTGATCTGCCAGACATGTGAGCAAAGCCATCTGAAAACAGTCAGTCCCCAGCTGAACTGTGAACCGACTGCAGACCATGAATGAGTCCAGCCATGATCATCCAAGCCTGGTCCAGATCAATATGACTACCAACTGACCTTAGACTCCTGAGTAATAATAAATACTATTTTAAACCACCGAGTTTTGGGGTTACTTGTGTAGCAATACTTATACACATTGGTTATCTTCTTTTGGTTAACAGATGTATAAGTTTGACTCTTTTTATTGTCTGCATTCACACTTGAGCAACTGATCCTGCCTAAAGAAAATATATATAACCATTCGATGAGTAGTTAGTGCTAGTGGGTAATCATATTTTATTGCCTTGGTGCATTTGCTTTGCTGGTATCCTAGCAATTATTTCATATTTTTCCTTTCATCAAACTGCTACCACCTTCACCCTCATCTTCACTCTCAGATATTGACCGAACTTTTATTTTTCTGTGAATATATAAGCAGTCAAAAAAGCTTCCTTAGGGCTAAGCACTGTGGCTCATGCCTGTAATCCCAGTGCTTTGGGAGGCCAAGGTGGGACAATCACTTGAGTCTAGGAATTTGAGACCAGCCTGGGCAACATAATGAGGCCTCATCTATCCAAAAAAAAAAAAAAATTAGCTGGGCATGGTGGCTCCCACATACTCAGGAGGCTGATGTGGGAGGATCACTCCAGCCCAGTAGTTTGAGTTTGCAGTAAACTATGATTGTTACTATAGGCAGTGGTTCTTATCTTGTGGTTCCTAGCAGTAGTACCTGGGAACTTGTTAGAAACAAATTTTTGGGTCCCACTCGAGAAATACTGAATCAGAAACTCTGGAGGTCGGGCCCAGCAATCTGTACTTTAATAAAACCTCTAGATGATTCCAATGTATATTAGAATTTGAGAATCATTGCTATAAATTATCTGCATTTTTAGGTAAAGCTAACCCTTCACTTAGGCACTAGACTTATGCATCCTCTCAAAAATACTGCTTCCCCCCTCCTCTGATGATATTTTTTATTTCCGCTAAATCATTCTCACCATCATACAAACATGCTGTTAATTTTCTCATCTTAAAACAAAACAAAGCTTTTTTTTTCCCATGCAAACTTGCTTCTCTGCTCCCCTTTGATGAAAACTGATTGAAATAGTTGTTTGTCTCACTGTTTGCAATCTGTTTTCGCTCCCATTCTCTCTTAAGCACATGAAGGTGAACTTTGCCCTTCAATATTCCACAAAAACTGTAGAGTCACTGACGTTATTTATTTGCTAAACCCAATGGTCAATCCTCAGTATTATTTTATTTTATTTTATCCATGACCGTCATTTGACAGAGTTGATCTCTCCCTCCTTGGTAAACGCCTTTGGGCTTATAGGAACCCTACTCCTTCTTCATTGACTGATCCTTCTCAGTCTCCTTTGCTGGTTCTTCCTCATCTTCTTGATGTCTAAACTTCTGCGTTCCTTGAACTTCCTCATCTTCTTGATGTCTTGATGGTTCCTTGTCTTCTTGATGTCTAAACATCTCTGTTCCTTTCCCTCCCCTTCCTTCTGCCTCCTATTTTCTCTTCTTTAAATCTGATCTGATGACTTAAAAGATATATCTATACTTTGAAAACTCCAACATTTTTATTCCTTGCCTTGACCTCTCTTCTGAATTTAGGTTTATAGATCTAGTTGTCCACTTGACATCTCCATTTGGAGATCTAATAGACCTCTTAAGCTCTACTGTCTAAAAGTGACCTAATTTTTCCTCCAAAACCTGCTGTATCCATAGTCTTTCCTGAGCTAGTTAATAGAAACTCTATGTTTTCCAGTTTGTCAGACAAAAATGCTTGGAGCCATTCTTTATTCCTTTCTTGCTCTTACATCTCACATCTAATTCATGATCAAATGCTGCACCTCCACTTTAAACATATATCCAGAATCTAGCCATTTCTAACTTCACTGCTTGGATCCAGGTGGTTACACTGCTTCACTGCTACCACCTGGATCCAAGTCACCACCATTTCCAGCCTGGAATATTGCAATAGCCCCTAACTGGTCCTCCTACTTCTACCCTCATCCCTCTCCATCCCAATTCTGTCCTTAGCCCAAGGCAGAGAGCTTCTTTAAGCATAAAATAGATTTTGCCTTCTGTTTATATCCTTCCAGTGGCTTTTAGCCTCACTCAGAATCGAGTCTAAGGTCATCATGGTGCAACAAGGTGTACACTGTCAGGTCTCTGTTACCCTTTCTTATCTCTTACTATATCTTTTCTCTCACTCTGCTACAATCAAACCAGCCTTCTTTCTATTCCTCAAATATGCGGTACAAGCTCCCCCTTCAGAGATCTTTCAGCGGTTTATCACTCTGCCTAGAATGCTCTTTTCCTAGATATCTGTGTAACTTCTTTATATTTTTGCTTAAATTATACCCTCTTGGGTGATTAGATTTCAAATTTCCCACACACCATTTATCTTTGCTGTGCTCTCCCTTAGTACTTAACCATCTTCTAATAGAGCATGTTATTGATTTATTATGATTATTGTTTATTATTATTCTCTCCCCTCCCACTATAATGTAAATCTCCATGAGGACAGAAATTTTTCTTTTTGGTGTGTGCCTATGCTGAAGTTCCAGCATCTAGAACAGCATATGATGCATAATAGGGATTCAATTAAAACACTTGATTAATGTGTAGATATTTGCTGTTTTCTCTTAATAATATCAGTTGACCCATAACAAGTGCTCAGTAAGTGTAACCATTATTATTATTATTGTTATCTTTTATGTCTGTGGAATATATATATATATATATTTTTATATGGAGTTGCACTCTGCTGCCTAGGTTGGAGTGCAGTGGCATGGTCTCGGGTCACAGCAACCTCTGCCTCCCAGGCTCAAGCAATTCTCCTGCCTCAGCCTCCTGAGTAGCTAGGATTACAGGCACCCACAACCACACCCGGCTAATTTTTGTATTTTTATTAGAGACAGGGTTTTCACCATGTTGGCCAGGCTGGTCTGAAACTCCTGACCTCAGGTGATCCGCCCACCTTGGCCTCCCAAAGTGCTGGGATTACAGGCGTGAGCCACTGCACCTGGCCTATAGAATCATTTTTTACAAGTGGAATTATGGGATCAAACAGAATGTATATCATAAATAGTGACAAATTGCTCTCCAAAACGATGGTACTGATTTGCACCTCCACAAAAAGTGTTTGAAGATATCTGGTATGGTTTGGCTGTGTCTCCACTGAAATCTCATCTTGAACTGTTGCTCCCATAATCCCTGCATGTTGTGGGAGGCACCCAGTGGAAGGTAATTGAATCATGGGGGCAGGTTTTTCCTATGCTGTTCTCGAGATAGTGAATAAGTCTCTTGAGATCTGATGGTTTTATAAAAGGGCAGTTTCCCTGCAATGCTGTCTTGTCTGCCACCATGTAGGACATGACTTTGCTCCTCCTTTGCCTTCCACCTTGATTGTGAGGCCTCCCCAGCCATGCTGAACAGTGAGTCAATTAAACCTCTTTCCTTTATAAATTACCCAGTCTTGGGTATGTCTTTATTAGCAGCATGAGAACAGACTAATACAACATCTATTTTCTCACATCCATATCAAAATGGATATTATCAATATTTATATTTTTTGTCAATCAAGGGCAAACAATAGATCTCATTGTAGTGTTAATTTGCATTTCTCTCATTATTAATGACTTTGAGCATATGCTATATGCTTAGAAGTCCTTCTATGTTTCTTTGCCTATGAATTGTCTGTTCATATCTCTTGCTCATTTTCTTATGGGTTATTTCTTTTTTCTCTAACGTGTGGAAAGTTTTCATATGGTATAAATATTAATCCATTGTCTATTTTCTAGACTGCAATTATTTTCAACTTTGTGTTGTAGCTTTCCTTGTGGTATTATATAAATGTGGTATGTTATAGAAGTTTAACATTTTTGCGTAGGCAAATCTGCCAGATGTTGGGTTCAAGGCTTCTGGGTTTCATACTTAAAAAGGCTTTTTTGGCCCAGTGCAATGGCTCACGCCTGTAATCCTAGCACTTTGGGAGTCTGAGGTGGGTGGATCATGAGGTCAGGAGATTGAGACCATCCTGGCTAACATGGTGAAACCCCATCTCTACTAAAAATACAAAAATTAGCCAGGTGTGGTGGCAGGTGCCTGTAGTCCCAGCTACTCAGGAGGTTGAGGCAGGATAATTGCTTGAACCTGGGATTCGGAGGTTGCAGTGAGCCGCAATCATGCCACTGTACTCCAACCTGGTGACCATCTCAAAAACAAACAAACAAACAAAAAGGCTTTTTCTCTACCTAGATTTTAAAAACATTTTTCTTATATTTTCTTCTAATGTTTTATGCTATCGTTGCATTATACTTTTAATCTAACTCAAATACTTTTATTATAAAAAAAGTACATATTCACATTACTATTTTTAACGGATAGTCAATTGGGTCAATATACCCTTTATTTAATAGGTCTTCTTTTTCTCATTGATTACATTTTAATTATTCATTTTGAGCTGAGGTAGGGTAAAGGTAACATAAGATACTATTTTCATAATCTTAGAATAAGAAGAGAGTTGTTATGGCCAAGGAGAGTGGCTCACACCTGTAATCCCAGCAGTTTGGAAGGCTGAGGCAGAATTGTTTGAACTCAGGAGTTTGAGACCAGCCTGGGCAACATAGTAAGACCCTGTCTCTACAAAAAATTAAAAAATTAGCATGTGTCTGTAGTCCCATCTGCTCAGGGCACACAGTGGGAGGGTCATTTTAGCCCAGAAGGTCAAGGCTGCAGTGAGCCATGACCGTGCCACTGCACTCCAGCTTGGGTGACAGAGCAAGATTCTGTCTCAAAAAAGAAGAGATTTATTAAACAATATAATAAATATTATCCATAAAAAACATTTTAAATGTACCTACAATGAAATTAAGTTTTCTTTTTATTAAAAGACACAACTAAGATAGTGAAGAAGTAAGCCTCAAAGAAGAAATGTGTGTTTTCAACATGCATAACTGATAAAGAGCCCTTATCCAGAAAGAACTCTGAAAAAAAAAACAAAAAACCCAATGCAGAAATAGGCAAAAGACCTGAATCAAAGAAGAGGACATATAAATAGAATACAAATTAAGATGCCCAATATCACTGGAAACCAGAAAAATGAAGATTAAGATCTTCAGGGAACTATTACTATAATCCATCAGATTGGCAAAAATTAAAAGTCTGATAATTCAAGTCAGGCAAAGATGTGGAGCAAGAGGAACTCTTATGAATAATCTCTTTGGTAATATCTAGTATAGATGCCTATAATCTACTACTCAGCAATTTCACCGCTAGAGAGAGAAATGTGCACATTGCGCTCCAGAAAATGTGTGCATGTAGATTTATAGCATTGTTCAAAATGGCCCCAAACCGCAAATAACCCAAAAGTGCATCCCAACAGAATACACAGTTATAGAATATCCACACAAAGTTACAATACACAGCAATGAAAAGGAATGGACTTTTGATATGTTACAAACTAGATGAATCTTAATGTCATAATGCTAAGCAAAAGGGGCCAGAGACAACAGAACGGTAACTGTATGAACAAAAATGTAGGCAAAATTAAACTATGCTTTTAGGGATGGTTAATTCTGTTGTGAAACAATAAAAAAATGAAAGGAAGTTGAATTCTGTAAAAGTCAGGAAAGTGTTTGGCACTGGGAGAGGTAGACAGAGCTATGATCCAGACGGTCCTGCAGGGGGCTTTTAGTGTGTCAATAATGTTTTGTTTCTTTATCTGTGTTATAATACATGAGCACGCATCTGACAACTTGTTAAGCTATATGTTTAAGTTTATGCACTCTTCTGTATGTTAGCTCTATCTCACAATTTTGAAAATTTAACAAAACAAGGTATTTATTTCACATGGGGTGTTTTGAGAATTAAAACAACTAACACTACCCCTGACCCCATTAAAACAAACAAACCAACCCCTTAACATACATTAGCTATTAGGAGTCTATGTGTCCATCCCAAGCTCTTTAGGGACCTCAGATATCTAATAACTGGACACTAGGCTAGTTAGACTCATTTTCCCAGATTGGTCAAGGGACATTAGAAGAAAAACAGGACTGTTCCCAGGAGACTATTGTATTGTCTTTAGTCCTAGTAATAAAAAACAATATTATCCAACAAGTTAAACACCTCTAACAAATCCTCCCACGTTCATAACTGCTGTCCAGAAGTTGGGACACTACTCCTGAGTAAAGAAGTCATTTTGTTCATTTTCATTTTCAAATGTTTATTTATTTATTTATGAAATGGAGTTTTGCTCTTGTTGCCCAGGCTGGAGTGCAATGGTGCGATCTCAGCTCACTGCAACCTTCGCTTCCCAGGTTCAAGCAATTCTCCTGCCTCAGCCTCCAGAGTAGCTGGGATTACAGCCACCTGCTACCATGCCCTGCTAATTTTTGTGTTTTTAGTAGAGATGGGGTTTCACCATGTTGGCCAGGCTGGTCTTGAACTTCTGACCTCACGTGATCTGCCTGCCTTGGCCTCCCAAAGTGCTGGGATTACAGGCATGAGCCACTGCACCTGGCCAATTTTCAGATGTTTAGACTGTCTTGTAAGACATGTCAACATCCAGTTGCATAACTGCTGTATAGTATTAGTTGATCTGGCAGGGTTGGAACAAATAAAGGAGTCTGGTCATAGGCATGATGACATCGAGATCTATAATAAAGCAAAGGAGAGTCTCCATTTTCTCTGAAAGAAAGAAGCACAAGCTTTCTCCAGTACCTAGATAGTCCCTGGAATTTAGGAAATATTCAAAAAACTGTTCAATGAGTAAGGTAATGTACACATGAATATGTGATCAAGAAAGAAATTAAGGGTAATTACAGTTTAAATAAATCAGAGGAGAGAAGCCATATTTTAGAGAAAGATCACACTGAATTAGCACCGTGCATGTATCTGCAAGGATCAAATTACAAATTTGAATGAGTTGGGTGGGGAGCTATAGGATTTAAAGTCCACTTTACCTGAGGAGCAGCTGAAGTCAACTGTAATTTTTGTGAAAGGAAAAGCAACCCTGGGCCCATCAAGGTGGGGAAGGGCTGGTGTCTTAGGGTGCATTTTCACAGGCACAGCTAAGCCCTATGTGAAATATTCCTTCCACAACATCATAAAGGAATGAAGCCTTCGGCATTGGATGCATTGGGAACTAATTCCTGCTTGGTTCTTGATGTGTGACTTCAGTAAATAACCTAAAGCCTCTGTTTTTCTATTTTGTTATAAAGCTGACTGACAGTAACTACATTACAGGTAAAAACATGTAAAATGGAGTTTGTAATGTACCTCTATTTCTATATGAATTACTTCATTAATCTAAATGTGGTAGGAACTTACAACTTTTTGATTTTCATTTCTTTCATCTTTTGGATAGTCAATCTGATATATGAATACTTCGGAATTATCTTTGGGCAACTGAAAATGTTTATGAATTGGGAGATGGATTTTTCAAGATAATGCAGATAGAGTACAATAAAAATAATCTATAACGTTATCACCCTTCTTTCCTTGATCTGGTAAACACCTTTCTTGGACAAGTTCAGATTCAAACTGATAGCAAAGTGAAAGGCATTGTTACTATTATTATTTTAACTTAGAGAATCAGTGCATAGGGCACTCATGGAACAACAGAAGTATAAACACCGCCTGGGTCTGCATGGCCATTTGTGCAGCCAGCTCACTGCACCACCTTAGTCAAAGAAAAACACATGAGAATTGGTTGGAAATGTGTGACCCTTGAGCAGTTAAGCTCACTTATCAGCTTTCATCCTCAAAATAAGTGCAACAATGATATTAGACATGTCTGTCATTGACCAATCAGGAACAATTCAGCAAGGTGTTTATAAGCTATTTCATACCCTTTGCTTCCTTATCATTGCTATACTTTTACAAGGGCTGAAATGGATGAAAAAAATAATAATTTCTCATTTGTTATAAAAAGATAGCAAAAATCTAATGGTGAAATCATTTTTAAAATCAAGAAAATGACTCAATAGTTGAAATTAAAATATGTGAAATACAAAAGGAAGTGTGGTCCAATAGAAAAGGATACTTTCAAATAATTTAAAGAAAATAAATCATTTTGAACTTTGCTGTTTAGTATTTTATATTTGCATAAATAAATTTGATATACATTGCATATATATGACATCCATCATAACATACTGTAAGAAAAAAATGAATAATTTCCTTTAAATAATTTCAGAAAAATCTTTTATCATCTGGCAATCATCATATAAACTTTTGGTGAGAGTTCTCATACAGAAACAGATATGCAAGACACTTAGAAAATGGACATTTATAAACGAAGTGACTCAATTTAAAATACTTAAAACAAGAAGAGCACTAAGAAAACAATAATGAAGATGAGGATGAGAAATTCTGTGTTGCAGAAGGAATTTCCAGGAAGAAGTCAATGTCAAGGTATGCAAGGAATCAATGTTAAGGAGAGTTGATATGTGCCAAAATTTTACATTTATCATCTCATTAAATTTTTGTGTTCTACAGTCTACAGGCCCTGCAGATCTCATCCCTCTATCTTTCATTGTCACCTCTTGTCACTCTCCTCACTTTGTTCAGTCCAGCCTTAACAGCCTTCTTTGAGCACCTGTAAAGTGTAGGGCTCAGAATTTATGCCACTTGCCAAGGTCACACAGCTAGCAAAGGACCGTAATATCATCCTGGTATTATTTCATCCCTTTACTCCTTAATTGTGGGTGGTGGTGGGGCACTTTTTTATTGTTAAAAACAGAGCCAAAGACTGAGGTCTAGGTCTCTAGGGAAAGGAGGGCACAAAAGAACCCCAATGAAGAGCGTTAATTTCTCACCTGAGTTTAAAAGTGGGCCTTTGATCCTTTGACTGAAACAATCATCTTAAAATGAAAAGTCTTTGTACCAACTTCTGGGAGGAAAAAAAGTTCCAGGTTTTTTTTTTTTTTTTTTCCCCCAGCTCTTAAGCTTACATTTGCATAATCACACCAAAATCAAAAATACTATTAGCTTTTTTGGGGGCTTACTTTGTGTCAAAATTTTCGTAAGCCTTTTATACCTATTAACTCATATAATCTTCACAATGATCCATATGGTGTAGATACTATAATTATCCCTATTTTTGCAGATGAGGACTTGGGCATAAGAAGTTTAAAAAGAAATACTTACTCACAGTCACATAAATAGAAAGTAATTATAGAGAAGCCAAAGCCTGGGACCTAGCATAGAATCTGTTCATGATTCACAGTGGAGAAAGAGTGGATGGTGACATGTAAGAACTGGTTTCTCTTCCAAAAGGAGAGAAGAGTTCAACAAGCAAGTGGGAAAAAGAGAATCAGAGGGGCCTTGGTGAGAGCTGAAAACCCCCTTGGATGATTGAAATGACCCTAATCTCTGCCCTTCTCCTTCTCTCTGAGCACTCACAAGGGAGGGGGAATCGGATAGGTCCCAGAGCAGTATATATTGCTGCCTGGCTTCCCAGATTGTAACCCTAGGAGGCCATAATGTCAAGGCATAAAGTCAAAGGGAACACAGCATGGCACAACAGAGGGACAGGCATGACATAGAAAACTAAGGGCAGCCCCTCAGATTCTCTTGTGCCCTGGTATGGCACTGGAGAGCATTAGGAAGTTTTTCACATCCCTTCATAGGGCTGTGATGTAGGTTGGCTGAGGGCCACAGATGAGAAGTGGACCTGGGATGGTACAAAGGGAATTAGACTCCTCCCGTCTGACTTCTATGCAAAGAAATAATCTCAAGACAAGTTTTTGGTATAGGCTTTGATATATATGGATGGTCCTACCTCATGGCAGTTTCAATATTGTTAGTGAAATTTTGCTATCTATGAAAATGTAGCCATAACTCACTAAAATATATTTTTAAATAAATAATTTAAAAGTGTTTGCTCAAATTTAATTTTGCCCCATGTATATCTGATTACTCGAAGAAATAAGACAACTGGTTACGTTAGTTTCATCAGTTACATAAAATGAAGAAGCATGGCATATTTCATTACCCAGAAGAAGGGTGACCAACCATTTGGGTTTGCCTGGGACTTCCTCAGTTTTAAAACTGAAAGTCCAGCAGAGCTGGAGACCCTCAGTCCCTGGTAACCAGTATGCCATGTACAAATCTCAAGCTTCCTAACATTAAAAGCATGTACACAAAGGTGTTAGTCATTATGAGGACAGATGAGTCACCCCCAGTCTCCTGGTTTTAGCTTTAGGATATAACAGTATTATTTCTTAAGCTCTAAGTCAGACCTGTGGAGGACTTCTTGACCCAGGTCATTGAATTGTGGATTTGAAGATTTTCTTAATCTTTTCTAAGTGAAATACCTAACTCTGAGACACCAAGAGCTAAGATAGAAAGAGCGTCTGCAGTAGCTTTGCTGATCATGCAGGGGTAATTTAGAAGCAGGTGCTCTTGGCTCCTTTGTGTCAATGTGGTGGGCAGAGGACAGGATAAGTTAACTTGCTCACAGCTTCCTTCACCCTGGCAGCAGCCAGGAGCCAGAATTTGGAACTCTCGTGTCAGCTCTTATTAATTCCCCCAGCAGTCTTTGGCATTATAGTCAAACATCATTTCAAGCTCTCAGTCTGTCAACTCTGGATAATTCTTTGCTATCTCTTTGCTGTTATGGGAATTGATTAATACTTATGAGCACATTTTAATGGAAAAATGGAGTGTAAGTATTATTGCATGAACTGAAAAATAGTTTCCTACATAATATGTACAAGGAAAATAAGTCATGGGCTGTAGAGGCTTCTTGCGAGAGTTTTAAGTGGCGATCACTTACCTGCTGCTTCCCTATTCATTTTTAATATGTTTAGTGCTTTTGTTATTTAATGTTCTCAACAATAATTTCTGCTAAATTAATTTTATTATTGTTGTTACATATTGATGCATTTTGTTTGCTGTTAAGTTCAATACATTTCTTTGTTTCCAGTTAGAATTTGTAAATCACTGACTGATTTTCTCCACTGAAATTTTTCTGGTGTACTAGGGAGATGTTTAATTACTTAATAATTGCTGAAACTCATCACTTAAGAAAATAAATATTTCTCTAGTCAAGGTCATTGCACATCAAATTTCTGTTACATGAATTAGTGCTCCATTCTTGAATTTCTAAGTATAAAATTAGAAGTATTCTTGGCAGAGCTGATAAGACACATTTTGAAGTCCAAGACAGAGAAAATAAAGTTACTTAGAGCATAGAGAATCTGAATAAAGAAATTGAGTGTATCAAGCAGATCATCTCCTCACCTTGATATACCAGTGTGACCCTTTCTTCTTCTTACCAAAATTCTGCAATACTAACTCATAATTAAAATCAGGGTACAGTGGAGACATATTGATACATTCTTCTGGTGCCAGTCTTCTCTTTCAATATTTTAAATGTCACACATACACATAAAAAATTTTTAAAATTACATAACAAACTTCCTCATGGCAAACACATTACATTTTCTAGCATCCATTTCAGAGGGATATTTTATTTTCCAGGGAGCACCCTAAGCCTTTTGCTAATCTTACCAGCAGTTTACTTACTATTTCTTTGGATGTTTTTCTTCCCTGTTATACTTTCCACAGATATCTCACCTTATCTAGGTTATCAGTTAGTATGGGTTAGGTTAAACTCCTACAGGATAACAACCCTTAATTCTCTGAGGCCTAAAACAACAAAGGTTATTTTTCAATTAGGTTATATGTACCTATCAGGTCAGTGGAAGCTCTTCCATGTTTTGCTTAGCCAACAATGCAGGCTAATAGATCACCCCTCATCTGGAACATTGTCATCATGGTAGGGGAAGGAAACACGTGTAACTGCACATTTCCTCTGAAAGGTATCTTGTGTGTGTGTGTGTGTGTGTGTGTGTGTGTGTGTTTATTTAACCTGGAAGTGATGTAATCAGTTCTAACATTTCATCACTCAAAGCAAATCATATGTCTTTGCTTATCTTCAAAGGGTTAGGAAAGTACAATTCTGCCATATTTTAGAAGATGAGAACTGGAAATATCTTTGAACAGCAATAATGAATACCACATCAAGTCATTTTGGTTAATATTTTTATTTAGAAAGAATGACATTTTTTACCCCATCCTCAGATTCAGGACTCAATCACTCAACATATATTTATTTAAGAATCAATTTTTTCAATGTTTTTTTCCAAGCTCTGTGGATGATACAAAGATGAAACAAGTATAGATCTAAAGACTCTTGTGTATAATAGAGTGCAATAGTCCTCTTATAGTACCTGATACTTCTGCTTCATAGCTTTAGCAGGATGGTTATAATTATTTCTACAACTATTTGTCTAATGCTATCTAATGCTCTAGTAGTTTCACAAATTCTATTTAGGTTACAGGCTGTACCTCTTTTCATGACTACATCCTCAACAGCAAATACCCTGCCTGATATCTAGCAGGGGATGTTCAACAATTATGTGTTGAGTAAATTATAAAAGAAGAAAACTACTATGGTAGTCAGAGAGGGAGACAATCTTTCCAAACAAATGTATGCTTCTTTAGATTTGTACCTCCTTTTGCACTGACAATATTTATCTGGTCACATTTTTGTTTGCAATGTGAGAGACTCTCCTTGTATAGGAGAGACTAGGCTTATTTTATTTAATTTTATATCCCCAAGCACTAGCCTAGTGCCTGACACACAGGAGCTCAATAAATATTTGTTGAATCAGTGAAGCAAAGGAGGTAAGCCTCAAGGACTACTGAAATAAATAATTTTTAATAGGCAGGCACACCAGAGTGTGCTTCCTTTAATTGGTCTATTAATGACATGTGGTTTAATCTTTTTTTAAAGCACTGACAGACTAGCTGATAAGTGTTTTTGTCATCAAACAAATTCTGATTGCATCTGATACGAACTGGGCAATGAAATTTCAGCAGATGACCTCCAGTGGCTGAAGATGGCACATTTGCTGGAGGCAAAAGTGGAGAATGATGAGGTTTTTCACATTCTGTAAATGTAGGGCTAGGTTTGTTGAGTGGATTTGTAACTCAATTCGTATATTTTCTTTGATATTCTGAAATTTCTATTGACTGTGAAGGTGTGAAAATGTGTACAGTCAACCAGTAGCGAATACCTTCCTTTGTGAAGATGAGTAGAGCACATATTACAGACTTTCTGTGCTAAAGTGAACCAAATGCATACATATCATTATGTACATAGGCAACAAGGTATGACTTGTGGTTTAACTTTGAGGAAAAGCAAACTGCCTTGTAATAGGCTTTTATTATATACTGACCATGTTTACTTTGATGATTCACCAGGAAATAATAAGCCCCTAAGACTCAGTTACTTTTCCAAAATGAGCTACTCTTATCTTCCAAGGCCCAAGGCACCAATTACTTGTGTGCCATAGATGACAATATGCATTATAAGTTTAACAGATTTTCAATAAAAACATTGCTAAAACATCATTATTATGAACTTAGTTATTAAAGTACCAGGTACTTAAAAATGTCCAATATCAAAATAAAAAATGCCAAGTATACTTCTTATGTATCAAGAGACAAAAAAAGGCCTAGCAGGACAAGAAATTCTTGAAGCTCTATCCAATTTCTTGGCATAGACATAGGAAAAATCTAAATCTGG
Source organism: Homo sapiens (assembly GCF_000001405.40). Taxonomy (NCBI): domain Eukaryota; kingdom Metazoa; phylum Chordata; class Mammalia; order Primates; family Hominidae; genus Homo; species Homo sapiens. Next base: position 116,070,799 of record NC_000006.12, on the reverse strand, counting down.
AAACTTTGGCATAAGAATTGTTTTCTTTGTTTCTATAAAAGACCATGTATATATAAGTAAGAAACGGTGCATTTGTTGTTGCTGTTGTTGCTAATGACTAAAAGTTTTACAACATGGGTGATAGAAATTAACCTATTACATATGTCTTTTAATTGGAAAATACTGATTGGATATATGACTTTTTTTTCTTCTTCTTGCATTAGGATTTTGTTAATACTATTGAGATTTTGCAAAAGCTGCATCATAAATGCAGCATTCCAAGAAAGGAAAGCCCATGGTTCAGGTTATATGATTTGTGGACATCATAATTCAAAGGACGCAAAATAAATTGTTGTTAGCACAAGATAAACCTAGACTGAGAATCAGGAGCCTGGGATCCCAGTCCTGGAATCTTGTATGGGTCACATTCTATGTAAAAATGTTCTTTGGCCACATACTTTTCTTCTTCCACTCACTGAGTTCTTTACCCATGCAGCCCCCCAACCCTGCCACCTATGCTAGCCAAGAATTGTCCAGAATCTGCTTTTGACTGGAGTTTTTGAGAAGAAGCAGCTGTGTGGTAAAGAGAAGATTCTCTTGTACAGGGTTGGTTATTTCTGATTTTATCTTCACTAATAGCTGTGACCTAAAGCAAGTCACTTTAGCAGGTTTTTTTTTTTTTTTTTAAATAATGGGCTGTTTCCTTCATTCTAAAATGAGATAATTAGATAAGTTGGTCTTTAAAATATTTTTTCAAAGTGAAAAATCCAAGGGATTAGATGATCATGCTTTCAAACGTGGGTGATAGTGAGGATTTGCTGATGTCTCTCACTCAGAGAACCAAGCTATAAATTGAGTCACTAAATTCCTGCCGCACAAACTGTGGTCCTAAGATCAGCAGTATGGACATCACCTGGGAGCTTGTTAAAAAGGCAGACTGTCAGACTTCACTCCAGATCTACTGAATTAGAATCCAAGTTTTTACAGGATCCCTGGGTGGTTTGTGATGCTTTGTGTCAAAGGTGAGAGAGACAGGAGGAAGCCCAAATCCCCAAGGAATTTCCCCTGACCATCTGCAGGTCTCACCAGCCTGAATCCTTTTTGTTTTCCCCTGCTCTAGTGCAGAATGACATTCATATTCATCCTTTTTTGTTTGATCTACGAAACTAAGCAGAATTAATCCACTTTTATACCTGGATAAGACCTTCTAGGAAAACCAAGTGAGATTGATTTTTAGTTTTTAAACTGGTTAGAACTCTTAGCCTCAAGTGATCTTCCCAACTCAGCCCCCTCAAGTATTGGGATTGCAGGTGTGAGCCACCATGCCTGGCCAAATGAAAGCTTTAAAAATATTTTTTTCACAGTAATATTGAATAATATAAATATTTTCATAGGAGTTAACTGCAAGAGAGGCATGACTCTGTTCATCTTACTTTGCACATAGAGTTTGGAATTAGCCAAGAAACTTGAAGATGAACAGTAAGAACTATGCCGTCATACTACATATCCTCATGTTCAGTCAGCCCAGCCACAAATTTTGTATCCCAAACTTGGTGAAATATCAAAAGAGAAGTTCTTGAGAAAAAAGTCCTCAGAGACTTCAGGTGCTTCTATTTTCTGTTATTTTGGGGAAATTTGATAGTGTCTAACAGATTAGAGAGGCTCTGTGGCATTGCTAAAATAATGTTGCTGCTAGGTAGATGTGAATCTTGATTGATGAATTATCTGCTTAATAGGCAAGAACAAATCACCTGGGTAAACCATGGATAACTATATTTTAGGAAAGGCTTATCAGCTGCTTCTGGGAGATTGCATATACAAGAATATTCAGTCTTTTTGGAAAGCAAGTTCTCTAATCCCATTTGCGGATATTGCTAGATCATTTTTTTCAGTATCTTACTGAAATCTAGATATACTGTGCCTATTTTGTGTCTTTGACAGTGCCAAAGAATGAAACAAAAAGCTTTAAAAAGTTTTTTTTTTTTTAAACCTGAATTGATATACTTGCAAGTAAGGGAACTCAGATCAGTAAAGAAATTCACTGAGTAGCTATAGTTTATTGAGGGTAAAATTCATGGATTTTCAAATATAGAAATAGGGTTTCATGATTATGCTCTGTAAGTATTGAAAACACACCTTCTGTTTAGGAGAGAATGAGTCCAGCATCCCATGTTGGCTGGATGTTTAATGTAGTCCGTCATCATTGGTCAGGAAAACTGCTACAGTTATGGATATTAAGGACATGGCATGCCAACACACCTCAAAATTCATGTTCTTCAACGGTTTCAGCTGGTTAGATAGAACCAGTTGTAAAATACAGCATTTGGTTTTGATGTCTTCTAAGTTCCGAAGTAATTAAACAATTTTTTATTTACAATAGTAATTCTATATGAAAAAGGAAATTGAGGTTAATTCGGCATCTTTTTTTTTTCTTTTTAAGCCCATATTAGCTTCTAATAGTCATTGCTTTTCTTTAAATTCCAAGACTCACTCACATATGTCTGGTCTTCTTTTTCCAGTCTGAGGATTATACTCTTTGGCCAAGAAAACTGGAATAAATTTAGAATTAAGTTGTTACCATCTGCTGCAAATATTAAAGGCCATCTTTTCATCATCATCATGATCATCATCATTGTTTTCCTCTGATTATAACTAAAGAGCTCCATATTTCATTTCCTTTCATTTTAACGGATTCTTGTCATTTCCCCTAGTGTCAGGCTAGTGTTTGGTCCTACAAGAGATGACTAAAAGAGGAATTGGTGAAGGTTAAGATGAAAGAGATGGAGAATCCCAAGGTACCAAGCTGTATTATAGCCAAAGGAAGTATCTAAATTTTGTCTGGAAGAGAATAAAAGATTAAGCTGATGCCAAGACTCAAGTCCAAGGGATAAGATGAAATTGTTTGCGGTCTGCTTATTTAATGGCATCATGGAAGACAGCTGAAGCCTGAAAAAGTTTCCATTAAACCTCAGAATAACATAAATCCCATCATCAGCCTCTCAGCAGTAGTAGCCAGACATTATCATTCAGCCTTTGGTATAAAATAATCTTTAGAGATATTTCACTTTGTTCTATTATAGAAAACAATGACAACAACAACAAGACTCTTGCAATTAGTATAAGTGGCCCCAACTTTCCTTCTAGAAATAGGAATTTTCCACTGAAATAGCAGTGTCTTTGTATCTACTGCATTTGTAGTGATATTATTTTATCAATAAAAATGTTTTTTGTTATTTTTACCATTATGTAATGATTATTGGTTGATTGCCTATAACAGGTTAAGCTCTAGGGACATAGCAGTGAAGAGGGTAGATGAAGCCGCCATCTCACTGGAACATTTTCTAGTAGAGGAGACTGTACTCAGTAGGCAAATAAATAGAAGACGTAAATACAGAGTGTGATGAGTGCTGCAAAAAATAAATAAATAAATAAATAAATGAAAATAAAAATAAAAATAGTGACATGCTGTAATAGTTCCTTTGGGCTGCTGTAATAAAGTACCAAAGACTGAGTGGCCTAAAGCAACAGCACTCTATTCTTCCATAGTTCTGAAGGCTAGAAGTCTGAAATCAAGTTGTCAGCAGTGCCATGCTCTATAGCTAGCCTCTTTTAGCTGCTGGTGTTTGCTGGTATTCCTTGGCCTGCAGATGCATTACTCTGTTCACATGGCTGGGCTTCTCTCTGTGTATCTTTGCTTGGTGTTGTTTCTGTGCCTGTCTGTGTCCAAATTTTCCCTTTTTATGAGGACACCTGTCATACTGGATTAGGGCTCACCCTGATGAATTCATTTTAACTTGATTACCTCTGTAAAGACCGTATTTCCAAATAAGGTCACGTTCTGAAGTGCTGAGGGTTAGGATTTCAACATATCCTTTTGGAGGACACAATTCAACCCATGAGACATGCTAAGAGAGAAGCTAGGTTGGGTAGTTTTGCTACTTTAGACAGAGTGGTTAGGGGTAACCTTTTTAATGATACATTATTTAGGTTGAGAACAGAAAGATCCATCCAAATGAAGAATCTGGACAAGAATGTTGTTGATTAGAAGAATAGTGAGAAAGAATCCATGGTCAGAAAAAAGGGCTTGGCTGTTGCCGTGGTGAACAGAAAGGTGGCCACTGTGGCTGGCCCATAGAGAGCCAGAAGAGTGGTGCCAGATGGAGGGAAGGGACAGGCTGGAGACAGCCCCAGCAGAGCCTTATTTCTGAAGATAAGGAATTTGGAATTCATAAGTGCAATGGGAAGCTATTGAAAAACACAGGTCTGATTGATATTATACAAAGATTATTTTGGCTGCCATTTGGAGAATAAGTTGCTGTATTAGTCAGGGTTCTCTAGAGGGACAGAACTAATAGGATACACACACACATACACACACACACACACATATATATATATAAAGGGGAGTTTATTAAGTATTAACTTACATGATCACAAGTTCCCACAATAGGCTGCCTGCAAGCTTGAGGAACAAGGAGAGCCAGTCCGAGTCTCAAAACTGAAGAATCTGGAGTCTGATGTTCGAGGCAGGAAGCATCCAGCACAGGAGAAAGATGTAGGCTGGGAGGCTAGGCCAGTCTCGCTTTTTCATGTTTTTCTGCCTGCTTTTTATTTGCTGGCAGCCGATTAGGTGATGCCGAACAGATTAAGGGTGGGTCTGCCTTCCCCAGCCCACTGATTCAAATGTTGATCTCCTTTGGCAACACCCTCATAGACACACCCAGGATCAATACTTTGCATCCTTCAATCCAATCAAGTTGACACTCAATATTAAACATCACAATTGCAATCGAACAAGAGTGAAAGTAGGGAGACTTCCTATGCATAGGACAGATTCTAGATTTTCCTTGTGATACAGAGAAATATAAGACATAAACTTGTCTTCAAAGACAGGGCAATATGCTTGGGGAAACAACACAATTACATATAAGCAGATATTAGACTACATAAGATATAATAAACTGTGTTCTAGGAGAATGACATTCATTAGATTTCACTCAACATATATTTATTGAGTGTCCATTAAGTGTTAGGCATTGTGTCAATATAGGAACAAAAGAACACTACATTAAGTACATAAAGAGATCAGAATCACACATGGAATAAATGACAAAAATGGGTATAGGTTATGCTGGGAGGGCACAAATGAGAGAGTGGTCAATTCTGTCTAATGAAGTAGTTGGGAAAGAATTAATAAAGACAGAGACATTTTATTCGATTCTTAAAAGATAGACAAGAACCCATATTTATCTGGCAAATAAGTTGGAAGATGGTTAATGTAGGAAAAGGGAGAGAAGTTGGGGTCATCACATCAGGCAAAAGAAGGGGATTGAGCAAAGGTCAACAGGTATGCAGAAGAAGTGCACATTTGCAGATTATATGGGTTCACAGCAAGAGTTTGGAGGAAGACTATGTGGTGGAGAGTTTTGTTTTTATTTTTTATGGCTCCCTAGGCCATAATCCTCTTTTCTATGTGTGGGGGAATATGTTACTGTGTGAGTTGGGGAGACAGAGTCCAATTTTCCTTTATGATAGCTCTCTCTAAGCCCTAGTGCTGAGGCCTAGCAGGGTTTGGGGATCATTAATTCGTCCTGGTATAAAACTGAATAGCTGTTGGATTTTCTGTAGCAGTATTCAGCATACCAGGTATAGGAGCATGGTTCAATTCATTTAATATTGTGTATATTAGGAGTGGGGATTGTGGGAGCTAGAAAATTCAAGGAAGACAGAAGTGATTTTTGGCTGGAATGGTTAAGGAAGGTCTAAGGAGGTGAGGGATTTTTATTCAGATCTTGAAATGCAGGCAGGAGTAAGTAGACTTACTGGGAGGGGAAGTTAGCAGTGGAAGGAATACTGAGTAAAAGAATGGCAAAGGATACAGGATCAGATGTGGGAACAGATGAGGCATATGGGAGATCTAATAAACCAGTCTGGCTAACATAAAGCCATAATGGAGGGGGTGTTGAAAGGGTACATCTGATAAAGTTTGGATAAAGTACAAATTCCTTAGCCTTGAATTCCAAGTCATATCTTCCAAGCAATGAGGATCTGTTGAAGGTTATTGTGTAGGAGAGTGATTAAGATTAATGTGGTGGCAATTTGCTATAAGGATGAGAAGAAAATTGACTCCAGGCAGGAAAACTGGGTTAGGAGGCTGGCAAAGGAATCTAACATTCAGGGAGCAATAAGAGAGGAAAGGAAGGGACTGAGAAGCAATAGACAGAATGTATTCCCTCCTCTGTGCTCCTGGCTCTTTTCACACTATAGAACTTTCACTCTCAATCATGAATATTCACATAAATGTTTATCTCTCCCCAATTGTTTCTTCCTGCTTCCATTTCCTCCCCATTTTTATCTCTGTCTCTCCCACACTGTTTCTTTTTCTTTATTTCTGTGTTAATTATTTAATTCATCAAATATTTATTATTTACATAATGGACATTGTACAAGACACTAAAGGTTCAGAGAAGGGAATTCAGTTCTCCTTGGAAAACCAAAGAGGGGCTCAACCACAAACCAAGTAGAAGTTTCTGCCAGAATTTAGGGGTGCATAGAGGCCTTTCATCTATATTCATGCATCGCCTGAACCCAACCTAGAAAAATGACAAGGAAGTCATCAGGGGAGCAGGTAGAGGAGGATGCAGAGGTGCAGCAGGGAACTGCTGGTCATTTGGCGAACTATGTCACAGGACCTGTGTGCAGGAGTGATGAACCATGATTGGAGAAGTTAGCAGGGCCTTGTGTATCATGCTGAAGAACTAAGGTTTATTCCAAATGTGTTGGAGGTTCTTCCAGAATTTTACATAGAAGAATAATATCAGATATTTTTAGAGTCAGCAAAACTGAGGATTTATACTCTCAGGCTCTGGAGTCAGATTGAGAACAGAGTGTTACTCAGGGTTAGCCACTTGGTGGCCGTGTGACCTTGGACAAATTACCTAGCCTTTCAGCCTCAGTTTCTTCTCTAAAATACTTTTTTTAAAAAAAAATACTACCTTCTTTGTAGGCATTGTTTTTTATTTGGTGAGAATTAAATGATATGTTATTTGTAACATTCTCTTATTTTTACCTGATATTGACAAATTATTATTGTATATTTTATGGGGTACAAAGTAATGCTGTGATACATGTATACAGTGTAGAATTATTGACTCAAGCTAATTAACATATCCACAGTCTCGAATGGAATACTTATCATTTATTCCTCCTGTCTAACTGAAACATTGTACCCTTCAACCAACATCTCCCCATTCCCCTGATTCCCCAGCTTCCGGTAACCACCATTCTGCTCTCTGCTTCTATGTGTTGGATTTTTTTTTTTTTTAGCTTCCACATATAAGTCAGAACATGCAGTATTTGCCTCCATGTCTGGTTTATTTCATTAGCATAAAGTCCTTCAGGTTCATTCATGTTGTCACAAATGACAAGATTCCCTGCTTCTTTGAGGCTGAATAGGTTTCTAATGTGTATATATACCATATTTTCTTGTCCATTCATCAATTGATGAACACTCAGATTGATTCCATAACTTGACTGTTTTGAATAGTGCTGCAATAAACATAGGAGTTCAATATCTCTCAGACTTCCTGATTTCAAATCTTTTGGATACATACCCTGGAGTAGAATTCCTGGATGTTATTTCTAACATTCTTAGTACAGTGCCTGGCACATAGAAAGCTTTCCAAACAGATAGCTACTCTTACTAGTAATGACTAGGAATGACTTATCACCTCAGTCATTGTTACTATTATAAAAACTACTCTATAAACTATTATGAACACCACTCATCTTGGTGTGCAAGATGAGCCAGAGATGGGAATAAGCTGGAGGAAGGGAGATCAGTTAGGAGGCCTCTGGAATAATCTAGGAAAGAATATTCTGTTTTCTGTCTGGTGCCCAGCTGTCGCTCAGAAGGAGCTTTAAAAAAAGTTTGTGGAATAAATGAAAAGGAAGACTGAGCAGAATTCAGTGATTGATTAGCTCAAAGAAACCAGGGAGCAAACGAAAGATAACTGCAAGACTTGGAGATTGAGTGACTGGAGAATTCTGGTACTATGGACACAAAGAAACCTTCTCTCTTTCCACCCCTCAGCTCTGCGTTCTCAGGCCATTGCTCACCTGACATCTTTGGATGGTTGGCCGCTTTTTGAATTTCACTCACTTGCTCAATGACTGTGGTGTGCAGGTCTGCTGCTTTGTCTTTTTCCAGAATGCCTTGTCATAACTATAGTAAAGGTATATCTGAATTTAGAACCCCGACAATTCAAAAATCTAAAACCCCACTTACAAATTGGGTTTGAATACATCTCTCAGGTTGCTTCCAAATCTTTCTTTCTTTTCTTTTCTTTTTTTTTTTTTCATTTTTAGATCATGTAGATGTCTCAGGGAAGACTTCAGCATCTGTGCCTCTGTTGGGGCATTAATAGAATCCTATGCTTTTACATCCATTATTGTATTTGGAACAAAATATCCTTTATGGTCATTTGGTATTATATATTTTCTGTTTTGTATATAATATGAAATTACATATACAGTCTATTTTAGGTCTCATATCATTATAAAACAAAACAACAACAGCAACAACAAAAATTTGGCTCAGCTTTTGGCTTTTATACTTCTGTCAACTTGTTATTTGTACTCTGACTCCAAAGACAATTGGAGAAACTTGGGAGCATAACACAAGATTTTATTTTAACCAATTGATCTGTCCACTGCTATGGACTGATTTTTGCACAAAGTAATAGCAGGTTGGGCTGATGCCATGGTTCTCTGATTTTCTTTTTCTTTTCTTTTCTTTTCTTTCTTTCTTTCTTTCCTTCTTTCTTTCTTTTCTTTCTTTTTCTTTCTTTTCTTTCTTCTTTCTTTCTTTCTTCCTTTCTTTCTTCCTTTTTCTTGAGTTTGATTATTCTGATTACTAAATGCCTTGCAATTTGAAAAAGAACAGAAGTTATGAGCTTGTACTAGGAATAGGTTAGCCAGGTTCAAGGGTCTCACAACATTTAGAAAGATTGTTTTTAAGAAAGAAATAAAAAAAAAGTCTTATAGAGAGATCAGTGACACTTCATAAACAAGTTTGCAATGCTGTCTACTAGTATAAATGACCGTACGTTGATCTGCCAGACTCATTGCCCGGCTGTTTTTGCCAGGGCACATATTTGTGAGACAGCTGCTCCGAACTAGGGAAGGTCAAGCAAAAACCACTGCCTGTCTAGAGATGGCTGTCCTGATGTCAGTCTCATTAGTTCCTGAGTTCTTGCCAAGTTAGTAAGAACTAGCATAGATCTGGAGGTCAAAGTTTAGCAGAAAGAGCCCCCACAGCAGTGTGCAAAGAGCTCTTTTTCTGTTCTACTCTTTTTTTCTCTACTGGTCACCTAGTTGGTGTGTAGCGTGTGTGTGTGTGTGTGTGTGTGTGTGTGTGTGTTTCCCAAATAGTACTTGAAGGATAGGAAATTAAATGTCTGTGGGAAAAAGCAACATTTTGGGTTCTCAGCATTTTAGTCAGCTGCTTTCTTACTTTTCCAGACTGTGACTATTCTTTGAAGCTATTAAAATCTATTCTTGGTAATGAGAAAAGGGAGTGACTTGATGGTTCTTTTCCAATTGCTCTGTGTCTGACAAGAAATACCTAAATACTTTAATTTGCCTTTTTAAATTTCCCCTAGTGGTGGCAAAACAATTCTACTCCTATTTGTCAGGGAAAAAAATCTCTGCCGTGAATTTCAGTGCTGGGAACATAACAAGACAAAAAGCTACCTGGGCTAGCCTGTTTCTCCAGGATGAAACAAAAGGAATATAGATTTTAGCGGCTGCTTTAACAGTTTGGTAAAGGATCTGGTCTATCTTGGGTGTGGGAGATGGGAGGGGTAAAGAGGTCAGAATACCATTTAGATCACAGACAGAAAGAAACCAGGAAGTAAGGGGAAATTATTACAGTCTGTTCATAGCTCAGAATGTTAAAGGCAACAGCCTCTGCTGGTTGGTTATTCATTAGCAAAAAGGAGAGAGCCGTCCAGATCCGGACTGGTCGAAAGACAGGAACAGACTTGAAACAGGGGGAGAGCTCCTGGCGAAAGCAAGACGTGGAGGTTTTACCAGGGGTTAGTAGCTTCCTCTTGCTAACTTTTTATTGGGACAAAAGGCAAGATGGCACCATTCTGTTCTCAGATATTTGTCTAAATAAAGCCCTTTTAATTTTATTTTATTTTTGTTGTGGGATTCTTAAGCAGATAAGAAGAAAAGACACCTTCCTAGTGAGCAGCTGCCCAGCTCCTGCTCAGTTTTGCCTCGGGGTAGCACCTCCAGCCACAGAAAGCAAGCCGGTAAGTCTCTCCAGGTAGGACTTGCTGCAACCCAGCTGCTGGACTGATCTGAAACGGGACTTTGCATACTCTCCGAAGTATGGTGAGTTGGTGCTGACTTCAAAGTTGCCTGGTGAAGGAAGATAAGGTGGATCGCAGAGACTAAGGGGAGAGGGAGAAGCCCTGCTCCTCTTCTCCCCACCAAGGCACAATGAGCAACATCTGTCAGAGGCTCTGGGAGTACCTAGAACCCTATCTCCCCTGTTTGTCCACGGAGGCAGACAAGTCAACCGTGATTGAAAATCCAGGGGCCCTTTGCTCTCCCCAGTCACAGAGGCATGGCCACTACTTTGTGGCTTTGTTTGATTACCAGGCTCGGACTGCTGAGGACTTGAGCTTCCGAGCAGGTGACAAACTTCAAGTTCTGGACACTTTGCATGAGGGCTGGTGGTTTGCCAGACACTTGGAGAAAAGACGAGATGGCTCCAGTCAGCAACTACAAGGCTATATTCCTTCTAACTACGTGGCTGAGGACAGAAGCCTACAGGCAGAGCCGTGAGTAGTACAAACTTATACTTAATTTCTGAACTCTCTGAGGGCTGGGTAATGAGTTTTCCTTTCTACTTCTCTACAACCCCCTAATGTCCAAAGAGTTGCCTAAAAAGTATGAGGAAGTACTGGCAAGAAACCACTAATTGAAACACACCTCCCCCGCTAAGTGAGTGTGAAACTGGCCAGTAATTGTTGTTGAGATGACTTCAATTACAGTATGTACATCCACAGGTCCAGGGTGTATTTTCAAAATAAACAAATGATGTGTTTAATACTGTACCTTCTCTTTGGCTGTAAAATAACTCATGCCTCACTTTAGCAATAAAATTGCATTTTGTTTGAAGGTAAATTATAAGACTTCCCTTAATGATATTCTCAAATCTAAACTTCAGATTCTTTTTTTTAAAAAAAACTTTTGAAACATTCCAGGGTAATATATCAACTCTAGCCCTAGCTCTAATCCTAATCCCTTTCATTCTGATGGGAATATACAGGGCTAATGTAGAAGACAACACTTAGAAGATACTAATGTTCTCAGTGACATCATGATATAGATTTTTTTTTAATTCCCAGATCCTGAGATATGCTACCCAAATTATGATATCTTTTGGTTTTTATTATGATTAGAAACTGGCCAGCTACAGACATTTGGTAAATTTTGATAGGAAAAAGGACAACATCTCCTTGAAGAGGAGATAAAGACTTTATCCTGGTATTTGAATGAAATATGAATTATATTGCAACAAAAGAGGAAAGTTTTTATGTACTTATTCACCCATCCATCCATCCATCCATCCATCCACCTACCACCCCTCCAAGTGCCAGGCATAGACAGTAGTGGGCCTGGTGAGTTGGGGAGGGTAAAGGAGATTATTCTAGTAGTGACTGAATACAAAGTGGATAAAACATAGTCTTGACAATGGATACTTGGGGTCTGGTGGGTTGGGAAGCAAATGGAGACTGTCATTGGCCCTGATCTCATTGCTTCCTGAATCCAGTGAAACCTTAGACTGGGAATGTCTTTCAAAAAATGTACTCATTTTTTTTTTTTTTTTTTTTTGAGACGGAGTCTCGCTCTGTCCCCCAGGCTGGAGTGCAGTGGCGCGATCTCGGCTCACTGCAAGCTCCGCCTCCCGGGTTCACGCCATTCTCCTGCCTCAGCCTTCCAAGTAGCTGGGACTACAGGCGCCTGCCACCACGCCCGGCTAATTTTTTTGTATTTTTAGTAGAGACGGGGTTTCACCGTGTTAGCCGGGATGGTCTCGATCTCCTGACCTCGTGATCCGCCCGCCTCGGCCTCCCAAAGTGCTGGGATTACAGGCGTGAGCCACCGCGCCCGGCCAAAATGGACTCATTTTATAGAATGGTTTCTTAATAGGGAAACCATTGGAGATTCTCTTATGTTCTCATGTAAGTGTTTCTTATTTTTATGTGAGCGTCCCTTACTGGTCCAGGGAATAAGATAATAATAAATAGCCATAGAGCATTGTTTCTGCTTTCCAAACTCATACATCACATATGAAGGGAGGTTTGACGAGTTTTGAGTTTTGAGATTCTTTTCAACACCAAGAACCTATAAATGTTTAGAAGGGTCTTAATTTATGCTTAAATAGAAATGAATTGAAATATACTTTTAATGAATGGAATTGATCAGTTATCAAGTGGGAAAATCACCTGTGTGAACATTTGCTTTCTGTGATAATCTACAGGAAATATCTTTATATATTGGATACACTTATGTGCATTTATCTGTTTTCACTACTTTATGATTTCTATGTCCTGTATGGCATTATGCATATTTTATATTTGGCATAACATGTATATTATAATAATAATATATTAATGTTTCATGCCTTGAATTCATAATCTGTTAGTTTTAAATATATTCAACTCATATAACTACTTAGGACCTCAATTTCCTCATCTGCAACTCTCTGGGGTTGCCATGACCAATGGATTTCCTGACTATCTGGGAACAGGAGCTCTTATGTTCGTATGTAGTGGTTCAGTTACATTCATGCTTGACTGTATTAGAAATGCTGAAGAAAGCAAATTAACTGAAACAAGTCAAGCAATCCGAAGGTATCATATTCTGGGTAAAAGGCTTGAGAGCAGTGTTCTTATTAATTTAGATTTTCTTTGCCTACAAACACAAAATAAGGCAACTAAATTATTATGGCTATTTTTGATTCTCAGAGTCATTTGTAGCCAATAATATTTTTTCCCTCTGCACATTACCTTGACCTTTCTTCTTGGAATTGGTTCTCAGCAGCATTCCTACCTGTCAGTACCATTCTAGATCTCTGTAGTTAGCTTTCCTTGGGATCTTCACATCCACTGGAATAAAAACCATGATGCCCAGAAAATGCTGCCACTCTGCCTCCTGGCTGGAACAGGCTACTTGTTTTCTTTTAAGTGCACACCATGGTCTTCACCTGTGAACCTGGCTTACTTCTGAAGTTTCTTGTCACCGTAAGGCAAAATTGCTTCAATACTCTTAGTGCAAGTAGCTGTAGCTTCTAGAATTCCCCTCCATCTCAAATAGAAGCGATTTTTACTGAACAGCCTTCTGCGTGAGTGTGTCCAAGTGGCTCACACAGTACTTTAACACTTGAAGAATTATATAAAAACAACTTATTTTAATATTTTTTCTTCAGTGAGTTTTTTCAAAAGTCTATTTTTTTCTCCTGAATGCTGTGAAAATTAACGTAATTTTTTAAAATCATGAGCTCAGTAAGTTGACTTAAGGAAAGATTATTGTTTATATCCACATGTATGGGATGAGTAGGCAATGGGAAACCAATGAAAGCTGTCATCTAATTCCTAATTAGACCAGTTTAATGCAACGTATGTTAGTATTTGTGTTTTTATGTCTTTACTTTTGATGTGCATCTGTAAGAAGAAACTGCAAATACTTCTGGAGTTATTGGTGCCAGGGAAAATTAGTTTAAGGCTTTAGTTTGCAGTTTGTTTGTTTTCTTTTATACTTGGAAGTAGAGATGTTGAAAAACAAACTATTGTTTAAAAAGCCCAATTTACTAATTCTTATCCCACTTAGAAATGCTTTTCACCTTTACTGAATATCTTCCACTAAGTGATATAATAAACCAATTCTTGAAGATTTATTTTGTCTTTATGAAGAATCATTAGATTTATCTTATCTTCGACTTGAATTTATTCCTAGCTCATTTTAGAGATGAGTCTTTTTCTTCAACATCTTCAATGTGAAATCCCTCGAAAACCTTGCCCTTAGGGTCTTATTAATCAGAACTTTCTTTAATATTTTATTTATGGTGTTTTTAAAGATATAAAGTTCACATAAAAATAATGATGTGGAAATAACATATAAATATTAGAACCAAAAGTAATGGCTTTAAATTTCATTGCTTTAATTGTAAAAAATTCAAGTATTGCAAAATATTGATAAAAAGCAATATGATCAGCAATAATATTAGACGTAGCATCATTTATCTGCAAAGAGTTTAAAAAGTTTTTTTGCTTAGGGAGGATCACCTGTGTCCAGGAGTTCAAGAACAGGCTGAGCAACATAGTGAGACCCAGTCTCTACAAAAAAATTAAAAAATTTGCTAGGCATGGTGGCACAAACCTGTAGTCCCAGCTACTCGAGAGAGTGAGGCTGGGGCAGGAAGACTGCTTAAACCTGGGAGGTTGAGGCTGCAGCAAGCTATGGTTGTGCCACTGCACTCCAGGCTGGGTGACAGAGCCAGACCCTATCTCGAATCCCCACCAACCAAAAAAAAAAAAAAAAACCAAATGAACAATTTTTTGCTTAATTGTTAAAGTGTACCTTAGGTGTTGTCTAACATACTTTTGTGTTAAATTGAACTAGGGTCAGAGATGAGATCAGTTTAATCTCCCAGAAAGGGGATTGGTAGGAGGGGAATGGGGTGGACATAATCACATAAGCCAGCCACTGATGATTTCTGCTTCGCCAACTTGACCACGCAAGCCAAGGGCAGCAGTTGAGATAGCTGATTTGACTCCCCTTTGCATGTTAAGTTTAAGTTATGATAACAACAATGAAATGTGCTGCTGAACTTCTGACTCCATACACTTCTCAAAGACATAAATGAAGATTCTATTAAGAAAATTAGATCACTACAATCATCTCTAAAGTTTATTGTTTATTAAGCTCCACATTTTTCTAGGTCATATTCTTGTGTATCTTCTTACTTGTGAATCAGTAATTTTGTCTTAAGTCCATTCTATAGGCCTGGTATGGTGCTAAGTGAATGACTCAGCAAAGGCAGAGGAATTAGTATTTGCTTTGTTATATATATATAATTTGGCTTTATGTTAAGAAATATTTCCACACTTATGTGTGAAACAATAAAGGCCATAAAGTTTATTTCTGTCTCCTAAATTTGAGCATGGCATACCTTTGTGGGTAGGAGGGCTAGAGGAGCCACCCATACTGACCTACGATGGTGTCTTTGTATCTCTTGTTAGCACTTTAGCAGGGGAAGAAGCAAAGTACTGGATTTTGTAGAAAGTTTTTCTTCTCCTCTTATTACTGTGAAAGGTAGATAATTTCCAATTCCTCATCTATTCATCATTTCAGTGGCTTCCTTGAAAAAGAAAGCAAGAATAAATATTTGTAACTTGTAGTTTTGTTGGTAGTTTATGATTATGGTATAAAAATGTTAGAATGTTCTGAAGTATAAAAGTAATGGGATTTTTCTCCATGTATTTAGGCCATATTTTCCTGCTTGTGCTGCTCTTTAGTGTGTCAGACTAGAGTTCTTTGAAGATTTTATCTAACCTATGATGATTGCCATTGTCGAGCTTGAAAGCAGCATGGTGAAACAAAGTGGTATATTCTTGGAAAGATTCTTATATCACCTATATCACCGTTTTAAAATAGAGTGAGGCTTTGCTATTTTGTCATTTGAATGCTGTGGAATTTAATAATTATTGAATACAAATTGTACATAGTGTGCCTAATCATTTTCAACTTAAATGTCAGCAGATTTTTTTCTTAGCTGGGATATGAGACCAGCTTTTGCATCTTAATTATAGGTATAGAAACAATGTGGTTTAAAAATTAACATTACCCTTAATACATTTTAAAAGTCATCAGAATATTCATAATCCACTCTGACATAATAGATGTTATCTACTTTGAGAAGTTTGAATTATTAAAAGTCACCAGTGTGCGATCAGTTCCACAATTGTTCTTTATCTAGATCATTTATTTTGTTCCCTTTGTGTAAGTTGTCAGGGAAGACTAAATGCCCATGTGTCAAAATGAAAATAATACCTAGTAATAAATGCCTGAAAATAATGCCTGGCATTTCTGGGTTCTCTCCTCTAAGACAAAGTATACTTACTATAATTTTAGAAATGAAATAAAAAGGTATTTATATATATAAATAACACTATATTTATAAAATATAGTATTATACTATATTATACTATATAATATATAATATATAGTATAATATTATAATAGTATAATATACTATTATATATTATATATATTATATTATATATAATATAGTATAAATAATATATAATATACTATATAAATAATACTATATTTATAAAAAATACACTATAAATATACATATGGTTGTTTATCAAGTGTTTTGGATTAATCAAGATAAAAATTTTAGCACAAATCATTTAAGTCAACCAAAAGCATATTTAAATGCCATGAGATTAATTAGCGTTACTGTCCCCATCCTTTATTTTTCACCATATGTTATTTATGATGATGTAAAATAAGAATATGACAAATACGTTTTTAAAATAATTTATCAAAAAATTTCATCTCAGGTATAATATTATTTGACTTCATGTTAATATAATTGTACTGTTTATGTTAATATAACTAACTCAATTTGTTATATAATAAATTTTTACATAAATTGCCACTATTTTTAAGAAAAATAATTAACTACTAAATTAGAATATATTTCATAAAAATAATAGCAAAATCATAGATGTGAAGAAAAGAGCAACCAATTCAACTATGTTAAAATCCCAGTTGAAGTTTAATTAATACCTGTGTCAAGTAATTAATAGCAGTAAAGCTTGATTACATGCATCTCAAAGTACCTTTGAGAACCAGTGAAGTGACATAGTATGGCATCATTAAAATGAGTTAGGAGTCTTTTCTAGGAAAAGTAGCAACATTGATAATACTTTAAAATTTCCAATTGCAATATGTCATTCAGAATCACTCTTTAGTAAAAGTATTGATTATTTTTGCTTTTCAGGTTTTCTACAAATTACTAACAATGGGAAAAATCTTATGTGAGTGAAATAAATCATTAACTACTGAGCTCCAGTCTTAAAGATTAGAACCCAAATTTTAACTTGATCAAATTTATTCTTTGAAAAGAAAATGTTCTATTGGATTCAAATTGGTTTACTTTTGTTCAAATGAATTAATTTAATTCCATGGTTTGTCTCTGCAGATACATCCTAGTGTTGCTTTTTGATGAATAGAAGTCAAGAATCTCACCAAACTGAGATTGTCAAAGTAGACACAACCTTCTATACAGTAAAGCAGGACTAAATTCTTTTAGCAGCTACTATATGCTGTGCACTTTCATTGTTCTTGAGGTTACCAAAAGAGGAAAAACCAACAAAACTTTGCCTCAATTAATTCTTGTTGCAGCTCAGAAAATTCCCTTCAGATTTTCTAACTACCAATACAATAGTGAGAACCTATATGGGCAATATAAATAAGAGCAGCCTTTGGGTTCTTCTGGTGAATGTTTCAACTAGATCCAAACATTAGTGTATGGAGTTTTACTGAAATATAATGCTGGTTACCCTTTTTGACCTAGCCTATGGTATGCCTAAGAACATAAAATATAGGCTCAGATGATCTAGATTTGAATTTGACTCTGTAATGTCTTAGCTGTGTGAGCCTGAGCAAATTACTTGACCCCTCTGCCTCAGTTTCTCATCTGTTAAATAGGAATCACAGTGACACCTATCTTATAGGATCATTATGTGACATAAATGAGACTGTGCAGAAAGGGTGCACTGCAGAGAACCTGACACATAGTAAGGTTTAATAAATATTATGTTTCATTTAGTTGGCAGCTCCTCTTTTACTTCTGTCTAAATGGATCATACTTTACACCCCCACTCTAGTCTGAGCTCACAATATTCTTTCCCTGTAACAGGTGTCCTGGACATTGAGTGTCTTTCAGTCTTCGACCGTCTGCACTCTCCCTCACCTGCAGCCTTGGTCTTCAGATGGGCTATTCTCTCTGCCTATAACCCTCTCCTTCCTCTTTTTTTCCTGACCAGCTTAACTTATCCTTCAAGTCTCACCCTATTTGTTCCTCCTTCCCCAAGCCTTTCCTGACATACTAGACTACATGAGGTGTTCCTGCCTAGAGTTGTTAGCACCCTTTGTCTTTACTGCTAATTTATTTTCTGCAGTGCTGTAAACTATGGATGTGGGTAGTGGAAAGGTGAGCCATTGCTCCTCCCAGAGCTTAGTATGATACCTGTGAATAATAAGCACTGATTGGGTAGATGAATAACTAAATGAATGATTGCTTATCTACAAATCTCAGGTCTTTTAAAGAGCAGCCCACAGAGACACCTCTTCTTTAATTGTTCCTCTCTGAATTGCATTTTTACCTACCAGAAAATTCTACATTAAAGGCATAAGCTATTTTTTATTCATTTCTCAATGAAATTGCTCATGCCTTAATATTTGGTTAGACTCACAGTCATAAAAGCATAATTCCCAGGTTCTCAGAAATTAGTTGCTCTAATCCACCTCTGGGGAGAAAATACTTAAGAGTCGTAGACCAATTCAAATATTCTTTGTAATGTAGACTGAATATCAAGTCAGGAACAGACTGTAAATCTCATTGAAATGGCGTCTAAAAATCACATATACACATATTAAACCATACTATGGTTATATTTAAAGTAGAGGATTTACTGGCCAGAGCTTTTAAATGGAGAGCAAATCTAGATCCAATTTACAAAATTAATGTTGTGGGGCCAGACTTGTAATTTCAGTTTTTATGCTCAATATACATAATTTCTAATTATTATGTGTATGAAATATTTTTCAGCTTACATAAGCTGAAAGTCTGACTCTTCACTGAATATTAATAGATTTTTACTGTACATTCTAACATTACCAAAAAATAATTTTATCTTCTTTTTACTAGTTTTCTCACTAATTAACTACTAATTTCTCTGCAGCATTCTCTGACTCCCATTTTAAATATGGGTTCTTAGCTCTTCTTAGCATTGAAAGGATTGAGCCAGTTTCCCTAGGGAAGGTAGTTATATAGATTAATAGCAGTTTTAACGATATTGCAGGGTTCCTTACAGATATTTTCCTAAAGCCTGCAACTTTAGTATTAGTTTATATGGCTGTTCCCTTGAAGATTAATGTAACAGAAGAAATTTGCTAAAATGCATAGATGCAAATGTAGATCATATACTCTGGATCACTTACTTTATTGCTTATTTGGATAAATTCAGATACTGTCATAGACTGTCCCTTGTGTAATATCTTTCTGTCATGATGCAATTTTTTTCTACAAAGTTTTTTAGTTGAATATTTTTCTATTTACCAATTGAGTCGATTGAATGTCAGATTCTTTAATGTTTTTATTAACGTATTTTTAATATTCAGATGGTGCATTTTATAGTGCCTTTAAATTCAGACTAAATTCTCAATCAAATACTTTTTTCATGATTTCCGTGCCTTTTTATGGGTAAAATAAAAATGCAATTCAGTAAATTAATAGGAACGTTTGAACTTTATACTAGGTATCTTACTTGAAAGACATTTAGAATACTATTTCTTAGTAAATATTCCTGTTAACACAAATGTTGTATACCACATTGGCAGCATGATTTGGAAGATTCAGAAGATCCCACTTTAAGGTTCCTCTGAAAGGCCAGTATTGTTGATAGCTATAAGGTAATTGTAATGCTATTTTGATCTCACATATATCTTTTTACCATTTCTGAATAATAATTAATTCTGACATACGAAGACACCACCCTGCAACTTCCAGCATTGTACTGCCTGCAAAGTCACTGCTAGAGAATAATTTCTGGATACTCCTAGTTGCACTTTTGAGAAGCAGGATTCAGGACACTTTCTCCAATGTCTTTTCACCATTTCTGGTCATTGAAGAAAATAGTTTCTATGAGATTCAGTTATCCATTCAACAAACTTTTTGTATGTATTTGCTCTATTAAAGACACTGTTTTTGTGTAGTGGGAGATATGAAAATTAATAAGACAATACTCTTCTCCAGAGAATTTTACAGTTTCAGGAGGTAAGATTAGTAAACCAAGAATGTTGTGACAATGCCCTTTGTCAAAAGCACATCAGGAACACATCTGTAGTGTTTTATTATTCATTGCAGGGAAGGAGAACACACATGGTGAAGAGTAGAGCGCTTCAGTAAGAGGGTGTTAGACAGGGCCCACTATTAGATCTAGGGATGTGACTTTGGGGAGATTTTAAGGAAGCAGGCGTTGCTCTGTTTTGGATATTGTTAAGAAATGGGAATAACTGTGTAATTAGGTATTTAATAAATCTTATTGAGAAAGATGGAAGATTAGTTTGGGAATAAAGCTAGAATTGGTTAAGAAACATCAGTCACTCAGGTTAGCCAAGATAAGTAGATGTTTGGTCATTTTTTAGGATGGACAATATCCATGTTTTTGTGGGTGTTGAGACTTGATTATGGAATGATCTGATCTTGTTTTTGTCTTGATCCATCATAGTCACAGTGTAGCCTCGTCTGAAGTTGATGTTTTGTGAGATTATTTATGTTCAACAGAAGACAGCAAGGTCTAGCCGTTAAGTGCCAGTCCAGGTCCAGGATATCAAGAGTTAATTTTCATTTCCTCAGTTAGCATAGACAGATGCTGATAAATGCCATAAGCGTGTCAAAAACTGTCTGCCATGTAGTGTGCATGTAAAAAACAATGTTCAACTCATGAATGAAGACACAAATAGTTGGAAGAATGAGTGCAGAGATAGAAGAGATCAGTCCTGATTTGGGGGAAATCATACCTTCCTTTCAGGGTTCAGCTCATATGACCCTTTTCCTAAAAGTTTTCTAACCTTCATAGAAAGAATTCTTAATTTATTTTGTTTTCCCATGATTTTGTATTTATTGTTAGTAGAGCAATGGTCAGGGATAACTGACATTTACTGAGAGCATACCATTATGTCACTTACCATACAAATAACTTAACTTGCATTGTCTTATATTATTATCCTATGAGACAGATGCTTTTATTACCCCCATTTGCAGATGAGGAGACTGAAGCTGAAAGAGTTTAAGTAAACTGCTTACGTCCACACAACTAGTAAATGATGGAAGTGAGATTTATCTGCCTCCAGCTTGCTCTCAGAGCCTGTACTTTTATCATATAACAGCTAGCTATAAAACTTTTGTCTTATGAGGCTGTAAAGTCTTTGATTGCCTGGAAAACTATGCAAGACTCTTTGTGCCCCAGAGAATTTATAATCTCAGAAAGTGAGACTATCTATTTTCTCCTGAGATTGTAAATTTCCTGGAGCAGAAAGACTGTCTTATTTAGTTTTACTCAATGCTTACCAAGCTGAATTTCTAAAAGCCTAGAGAGATGAACAATTCAGTACAATTCCTTGAATAATATACAGGAGGGAAAGTAAAAGTGTATTCGGGGAATGGCAAGTTGTAGAGTTTAGCTGAAGCATTCATGGAGAAGAGCAATGGGAAACAAATCTGGAAAAATAGCCAGGAACAAGTTTTGGAAAAGAGCATGTATGATAGTTTAAAGAGTGGGTTTTATCTAATGGGAAATAGAAATAGATAGAAGGCAGGGCTTTGAAAAGACTACGAGGAGGTAGGAATGGATTAGAGAAGAGATAAGCTAGTTATAGAGAAGTATAGTGAAATTATATTTCAAAGGTCCATGGCTTGAGGTTATAAGGGCTTAATTTTAATTTGTGGTACTGTTAAAAAAAAAAAAGAAGTGCAGGGATGTGAACAATCCCAAGAATAAGGATCAAGAAGACTTAAGGGGAAGGAAAATAACATTTTTGAATACATTCAATGCGCTAAGCATACAAAACTAATTTAATCCTTCTAATAGCTCTGCAAGGCAAATTTTCTTATCACTATTTTTAGGGTAAGGAAATTAATGGTAAAATTTAAGTAAATTCATATATTCTTATTTGGTAAATGGTAGAAGTAAAACTACAAATTAGATGTAGAAGAGGAGAGGAGAAAGAGACTGACACAAAAAATATGTAATTTGGGGGCTCAGCATGGTGGCTCATGCCTGTGATCCCAGTACTTTTGGAGGTTGAGGTGGGAAGATCACTTGAGCCCAGGAGTTTGAGACCAGCCTGGGCAACATGGCGAGACTCCATCTCTAAAAAAAAATACAAAAATTACCTGGGCCTGGTGGCACTTGCCTGTAATCCCAGCTACTCAGGAGGCTGAGGTGGGAGGATTGCTTTAGCTGGGAGGTCAAGGTTACCGTGAGCTGGCATCTCACCACTGCACTACAGCCTAGGTGAAAGGGCAAGACCCTGTCTCAAAACAACAAAAAATGTAACTTGGGACCAGGTGAAACATTAAGATAAATACATGTGTCATATGGTAATTTTTATTGAAGCAGACAAGGAAGGAATGGTTGAAACAGAGAGGAAGATAATACATTCAATTTTAGTTCATGTCGAAATTGAAGCCCCAGTAGAACATCTCAGTGAAAATGTCCAAAGGAAATTTAGAAACACAAAAGTCAAGGCAAAGAGCCAACTCTATTCTGTAAAAATGGATTTTGAAGCATTCACACCAAGGTATTATAGATGTCACAGTAATATAAGAACTGCAGAATATTTTAAACTTCACAAGGATTCTAAGAATCAAACAATGAGAGTCTAACAGGAGCAATGAGGCAAAGATCAAGTCTTTAGATTTAAATAGCTGTAGTTTAGGTGAATAAGTGGTGTGTAAGTTGTAGTAACTGTCCCATCTTTTTGTGCTTCCTTGCATCTGCATTCTTGGGGTAGTCTCCTCCCACACTCATTCTTGGCTTTGCCAAATCACGGGCTTTGGCCAATGGGACAGTTGCAAATGTGACAAAAGTGGAGACTTAAAAAGCACTTGCACATTGGAGTTTTCTTTCTTAGTTCTCTTGGAGTCCTGCAACTGCCATAAAAATCCTAAGCTAACCTCCAGGAGGAAGTGAGACTATGTGAAGAGATGTCCTACTGGCCCAGCTGACTCATCAGCTGACTGAGCAAGCCCAGCTAAGATCAGCAGATACTATCCCAAAGTGGTAACCTTCAGACTCATGAGCTAATTAAATAGTTGTGATGGAACAAAGCCTAACAATCCCAGCTACTTGGGAGACTGAGGCAGAAGAATCACTTGAATCCGGAAGCTGGATTAGCTAGGCATGGTGGCACATGGTTGTAATACCAGCTACTTGGGAGACTGAGGCAGGAGAATCACTTGAATCTGGAAGGTGGAGATTGAGCCACTGCACTCCAGCCTGGGCAACAGAGCAAGACTCCATCTCAATTAAAAAAAAAAAAAAGAGGAAGTGGAACACAGCTGCCTCCATCTCTGGGTAGAGTCTGCAGTTTCCTAAAAAAACTACAGATGTCTGGTTGTGATTTATCAAAGGCTTGACCCTTTCTACGGCATCAGATTTGGTAAGTATTCAGTATCCCCTGGTGGGTTAGATATTTGGAGGTTGGAGTAGAGTGAGGCTAGTTTGAAGGTTCATCTTTAGCTCCATGGATTTGGCCTTCCCAAATTTATTAGAAAAATTCATCAGTTTTTGTCATGGGTGACCTCTCACATTTTGAGGTCATGTTGTGGGAAGAATGAGTTCAGTCCTAGGTCTTAAAGTAGAGGCAGCAAATATATATATATGTATATAAATATATATACATACATATATATATGTAACTCATGAAGAAGTTTGTGAAGGAAACTTCACAATACAGATACAGGCAGTAGATTATGGGGGCATCAGGACCACAACTTGGAAATGCTGAGTCAGGGGTACTTGAATATTTAATTATAAACCTTGAATCTACATTTTTAATACCTTTCCCTCCGTCTGGTATACTAGTAGTACTATTTTAAAAAAGAAAAAGAATGTACTCAGATCTATCTATTCAAGGAATGTTTATTCTTCTTCTTATTATTATACTTTAAGTTCTGGGATACATGTGCAGAATGTGCAGGTTTGTTTCATAGGTATACACGTGCCATGGTTGTTTGCTGCACCCATTAACCCATCACCTACCTTAGGTATTTCTCTTAATGCTATCCCTCCCCTAGCCCCCTACCCCCCTGCAGGCCCTGGTGTGTGATGTTCCCCTCACTGTGTCCACATGTTCTCATTGTTCAATTCCCACTTTTGAGTGAGAACATGCAGTGTTTGGTTTTCTGTTCTTGTGTTAGTTTGCTGAGAAAGATGGTTTCCAGCTTCATCCTTGTCCCTGCAAAGGATATGAACTCATCCTTTTTTATGGCTGCATAGTATTCCATGGTGTATATGTGCTACATTTTCTTTATCCAGTCTATCACTGATGGGCATTTGGGTTGGTTCCAAGTCTTTGCTGTTGTGAACAGTGCTGCAATAAACATATGTGTGCATGTGTCTTTATAGTAGAATGATTTATAATCCTTTGGGGATATACCCAGTAATGGGATTGCTGGGTCAAATGCTATTTCTGGATCTAGATCCTTGAGGAATCACCACATTGTCTTCCACAATGGTTGAACTAATGTAGACTCCCACCAACGGTGTAAAGCATTCCTATTTCTCCAGCATCTATTGTTTCCTGACTTTTTAATGATCACCATTCTAACTGACATGAGATGGTATCTCATCATGGTTTTGATTTGCATTTCTCTAATTACCAGTGATGATGAGCTTTTTTTCATATGTTTGTTGGTTGCATAAATGTCTTCTTTTGAGAAGTGTCTGTTCATATCCTTTACCCACTTTTTGATGGGGTTGTTTGTTTTTTTCTTGTAAATTTGTTTAAGTTCCTTGTAGATTCTGGATATTAGCCCTTTGTCAGATGGATAGATTGCAAACATTTTCTCCCATTCTCTAGGTTGCCTGTTTACTCTGATGATAGTTTCTTTTGCTGTGCAGAAGCTCTTTAGTTTAATTAGATCCCATTTGTCAATTTTGACTTTTGTTGCCATTGCTTTTGGTGTTTTAGTCATGAAGTCTTTGCCCATGCCTATGTCCTGAATGATATTGCCTAGGTTTTCTTTTAGTCTTGAAGTCTTTGCCCATGCCTATGTCCTGAATGGTATTGAGTAGGTTGTCTTCTAGGGTTTTTATGATTTTAGGTCTTACGTTTAAGTCTTTAATGCATCTTGAGTTAATTTTTGTATAAGTTGTAAGGAAGGGGTCCAGTTTCAGTTTTCTGCATATGGCTAGCCAGTTTTCCCAACACCATTTATTCAATAGGGAATCCTTTCCCCATTTCTTGTTTTTGTCAGGTTTGTTAAAGATCAGATGTTTGTAGATGTGTGGCATTATTTCTGAGGCCTCTGTTCTGTTCCATTGGTCTATATATCTGTTTTGGTAGCAGTACCATGCTGTTTTGGTTACTGTTGCCTTGTAGTATAGTTTGAAGTCAGGTGGCATGATGCCTCCAGCTTTGTTCTTTTTGCTTAGGATTGTCTTGGCTATGTGGGCTCTTTTTTGGTTCCATATGAAATTTAAATTAGTTTTTTTCTAATTCTGAGAAGAAAGTCAGTGGTAGCTTGATGGGGATAGCATTGAATCTATAAATTACTTTGGGCAGTATGGCCATTTTCACGATATTGATTCTTTCTATCCATAAGCATGGAATGTTTTTCCATTTGTTTGTGTCCTCTCTTATTTCCTTGAGCAGTGGTTTGTAGTTCTCCTTGAAGAGGTCCTTCACATCCCTTGTAAGTTGTATTCCTAGGTATTTTATTCTCTTTGTAGCAATTGTGAATGAGAGTTCACTCATGATTTGGCTCTCTGTTTGTCTGTTATTGGTGTATAGGAATGCTTGTGAATTTTGCACATTGATTTTGTATTGACACTTTGCTGAAGTTGCTTATCAGCTTAAGGAAATTTTGGGCTGAGACAGTGGGGTTTTCTAAATACACAATCATGTCATCTGCAAACAGAGACAATTTGACTTCCTCTCTTCCTATTTGAATACTCTTTATTTCTTTCTCTTGCCTGATTGCCTTGGCCAGAACTTTCAATACCATGTTGAATAGGATTGGTGAGAGAGATCATCCTTGTCTTGTGCCAATTTTCAAAGGGAATGCTTCCAGCTTTTGCCCGTTCAGTATGATATTGGCTGTGGGTTTGTCATAAATCGCTCTTATTATTTTGAGATACATTTCATCAATACCTAATTTATTGTGATTTTTTAGCATGAAGGGGTGTTGAATTTTATTGAAGGACTTTTCTGCATATATTGAGATAATCATGTAGTTTTTGTCATTGGTTCTGTTTATGTGATGGATTATGCTTATTGTTTTGCATATGTTGAGTAAGCCTTGCATCCGAAGGATGAAACCGACTTGATTATGGTGGATAACTTTTTATATGTTGCTGGATTCAGTTTGCCAGTATTTTATTGAGGATTTTCGCATTGATGTTAATCAGGGATATTGGCCTGAAATTTTCTTTTTTTATTGTGTCTCTGCCAGAGTTTGGTCACAGGATGATGCTGGCCTCATAAAATGAGTTAGGGAGCAGTGCCTCTTTTTCTATTGTTTGGAATAGTTTCAGAAGGAATGGTACCAGCTTCTCTTTGTACCTCTGGTAGAATTCAGCTGTGAATCCGTCTGGTCCTGGGTTTTCTTTGGTTGGAAGGCTGTTAATTACTGCCACAATTTCGGAACTTGTTATTGGTCTATTCAGGCATTCAACTTCTTTCTGGTTTCGACTTGGGAGGGTGTATGTTTCCAGGAATTTATCCATTTCTTCTGGATTTTCTAGTTTATTTGTGTAGAGGTGTTTATAGTATTCTCTGAGGGCATTTTGTACTTCTGTGGGATCAGTGGTGATATCCCCTTTATCACTTTTCATGTCTAATTGATTCTTCTCTCTTTTCTTCTTTATTAGTCTGTCTAGCGGTCTATCTATTTTGTTAATCTTTTCAATAAACCACTTCCTGGATTCATTGATTTTTTGAAGGGTTTTTCATGTCTCTATCTCCTTCAGTTCTACTTGGATCTCAGTTATTTCTTGTCTTCTGCTAGCTTTTGAATTTGTTTGCTCTTGCGTCTCTAATACTTTTAATTGCAATGTTAGGGTGTCAATTTTAGATCTTTCCCGCTTCCTTCTGTGGGCATTTAGTGCTATAAATTTCCCTCTAAACTCTGGGTTAGCTGTGTCCCAGAGATTCTGGTATGTTATGTCTTTGTTCTCGTTGGTTTCAAAGAACTTATTTATTTCTGCCTTAATTTCATTATTTACTCAGTAGTCATTCAGGAGCAGGTTGTTCAGTTTCCATGTAGTTGTGAGGTTTTGAGTAAGTTTCTTAATCCTGAGTTCTAATTTGATTGCACTGTGGTCTGATAGACTGTTTGTTATGATTTCCATTCTTTTGCATTTGTTAAGGAGTGTTTTACTTCCAATTATGTGATCACTTTTAGAATAAGTGCAATGTGGTGCTGAGAAGAATGTACATCTATTGATTCAGGGTGGAGAGTTGTGTAGATGTTTATTAGGTCCGCTTGGTCAAGAGATGAGTTCAAGTCCTGAATACCCTTATTAATTTTCTGTCTCATTTTGGTCTGTCTAATATTAACAGTGGGTGTTAAAGTCTCCCACTATTATTGTGTGAGAGTCTAAGTCTGTTTGTAGGTCTCTAAGAACTTGCTTTATGAATCTGGGTGCTCTTATATTGGGTGCATACATATTTAGAATTGTTAGCTTTTCTTGTTGCATTGATCCCTTTACCATTATGTAATGCCCTTCTTTGTCTTTTTTGATTTTTATTGGTTTAAAGTCTGTCTTATCAGAGACTAGGATTGCAACCCTGCTTTTTTTTTTGCTTTCCATTTACTTGGTAAATATTCCCCCATTCCTTTGTTTTGAGCCTGTATGTGTCTTTGCACGTGAGATGGATCTCCTGAATACAGCACATCAATGAGTCTTTACTCTTTATCTAATTTGCCAGTCTGTGTCTTTTAGTTGCAGCATTTAGCCCATTTACATTTAAGGTTAATATTGTTGTGTGTGAATTTAATCCTGTCATTATGATGCTAGCTGGTTATTTTGCCCATTAGTTGATGTAGTTTCTTCACAGTGTCGATGGTCTTTACAATTTGGTATGTTTTTGCAGTGTCTGAAACCCGTTTTTCCTGTCCATATTTAGTACTTCCTTCAGGAGCTCTTGTAAGGCAGGCCTGGTGATGACAAAATCTCTCAGCATTTGCTTGTCTGTAAAGGATTTTATTGCTCCTTTGCTTGTGAAGCTTAGTTTGTCTGGATATAAAATTTTGGGTTGAAAATTATTTTCTTTAGGAATGTTGAATATTGTCCCCCACTCTATTCTGGCATGTGGGGTTTTTGCAGAGAGATCTGCTGCTAGTCTAGTGGGCCTCCCTTTGCTGGCAGGCAGGAATGTATAAGTCTGCTGAAGCTGTGCCCATACCTGCCCCTTCCCCCAGGTGTTCTGTCCTAGGGAGATGGGAATTTTATCTATAAGCCCCTGATTGGGGCTGCTGCCTTTGTTTCAGAGATGCCCTGCCCAGAGAGGAGGAAGCTACAGAGGCCATCTGGCTACAGCGGCTTTGCAGTGCTGTGGTGGGCTCTGCCTAGTTCGAACTTCCTGGTGGCTTTGTTTACACTGTGAGGGAAAAACCGCCTACTCAAGCCTCAGTAATGGTGGATGCCCCTTCCCTGACCAAGCTCTAGTGTCCCAGGTAGACTTCAGACTGCTGTGCTGGCAGTAAGAATTTCATGTCAGTGGATCTTAGCTTGCTGGGCTCCGTGGGGGTGCGATCTGCTGAGCTAGACCACTGGGATCCCTGGCTTTCAGCCCCCTTTCCAGGTGAGTGAACGGTTCTGTCTCGCTGGTGATCCAGGCACCACTGGGGTATGAAAAAGACTCCTACAGCTAGCTTGGTGTCTGCCCAAACGGCTGCCCAGTTTTGTGCTTCAAACCCAGGGCCCTGGTGGCATTGGCACCCAAGGGAATCTCCTCGTCTGTGGGTTTCTGAGACTGTGGGAAAAGAGTAGTATCTGGGCTGGAGTGCACCGTTCCTCACGGCATAGTCCCTTACGGCTTCCCTTGGCTAGGGTAAGGAGTTCCCTGACCCCTTGAGCTTCCTGGGTGAGGCGACGCCTCATTCTTCTGCTTGCCCTCTGTGGGCTGCACCAACTGTCTAAACAGTCCCAATGAGATGATCCGGGTACCTCAGTTGGAAATGCAGAAATCACCCACCTTCTGTGTTGATCTTGCTGGGAGCTGCAGACCGGAGCTGTTCCTATTCAGCCATCTTGCGCACGACTTAATCCAAGATGCTTCAAGGAATCTTTTATACACAAGAACAACACATGATCCTCTTTGCACTTTCCTAGAAGACAGATAGGGAATGAATTAAGAAGCCCTGGTTTTCTTTTCTGGTATACAGTGGTTATAGAGTATTCCTCTGTTTAGCCTTAGGCTGTTATAATCCAGAGAATACAGTGACATTTCAGATAAAAACAATAAAAAAGCAACTCAATACCTTGCATTTGTGTTATGCAATAGTTTATAGCAAAACAGACAGGTACTGGTTTTGATGATGAATCACTTTGAACTCTGTGCTATCTTTTATCAAAGTCTAACTCAGGGAAGCGATAGTTGAGGAAAATGGAAAGACATGCTATTGATTTAGTAGGTCCCGGGAAAATGATAGAAAACAAAATTATTACATAGTAATTAGTGGAGACCAAAGAATCCCAATAGATAATTTTTCACTTTTGAAAATTTTGGTGCTTAAGGAAATTTCTACCATCTTTTAAAGCATGAATCTCCATTATCCAAAATTTTTAGTATTATAAAATATTCTAGTTTATCAATTTTATCTTAAAATATATTTTATAAATACAAAATAATATATGTAACTTTCAGGTAGGTTCTAAAGCATAATAATTAATGAACATCCATATAACCAGCTAGCCCAAGACTTAGACTATTACTAGTAATGAGCCTATGAATTCTTCCCGTTTCCATTGTCAGAGTAAATCTTTTTTCCCAGAAGATGTTGATACCACCTAAATTTCTAATAGCAAATGCTGGAATCAATTCAAATATCTATTAATGGGTGAGGAATAATTTATGGCTTATTTATTGAATAAAATATGCAAGATTAAAATAATGAATTGAGTGATGTATAATAACGGGTGCAATTTGGTAGCATAATATTGGGTGAAAAAAGTTTCAAGAGACTACATGTAACATAATTCTATTTTTATAAAGCCCACAAATAAGGAAAACCAAATAATATATTGTTTGCAAATGTATGTTAGTAAACTATAAAATATAGTAAGAGAATTATAAATGGATTGCTATTAGATTTACTTATTTGAGTATTATAGATTTTATACTTCCATAGGATATTATTAGAAGAAATTATTAGAAGTTATTTATGCCATGAAAAATAAAGGTAGCTAGTATGCTGGCCATAAGGTCAAATATAGACATTGTGATTACACATATGTAGTTTTACCTTCTTTACATAAAGTCATTTACATATGACTTTCCCTTCTTTACACAATTATTTTCACTAAATTATCCCTTAATATTATGCTCTTAAATAAGAAAGACATTAAAACAGATTTTGCAGTTTCTGCTGTCATTATTCACTATGACTTTTAAGACTTCCCCCATGTGCATTCTAATGACAAGAATCCTTAATATGTAGATCATGGACTTCTAGAGGTTCCAAGGATAGGCTTGAAACAGTTCATGAATCTTTGAAAATGTCTATAAAATTTCTTTGATTTTCTTTTTCCTTTTTTTTTTTTTTTTTAGTGCCAGGTGTTTATTCCCTCACACGTGGGTGGTTCACATACACAGCACACACAGGCGCGGGCACCGTGGGAGAGGGCAGCACTCATGGCTTCCGAGGGGAGGATCTTGGCCTCAGGGTGTAAGAAGGAAGAGGATGGTTTCTCTCCTTCCCTCATTAGGGCCTAGGGGACCCAGCAGCAAATCCTGCCCCTTCCACCTCTCAGCCAAGGAGAAGCCACCTTGGTGACGTCTAGTTCCAACGATTATACTAAGTGGAGAAGGGAGTGGCCTGGTCCCAACCATTACAGGGTGAAGATATAAACAGTAAAGGAAGGTACAGTTTGGATGAGGCCGCAAGAGGGGGCAGATGACACCATCAGAAACATGTGCAGGGGAGGGGCAGTTACTGGGCTTCTGGGCTGCTTAGTCCCTGGCTTGGCAGGAAGGGTAGGGAAGATGGATGGGGCTCATTGTTTGGCATTGATGATGTCCACGAATTAGGGCTTGAGGGAAGCATCACCCACGAGGAAGCCATCCACTTCAGGCTGGCTGGCCAGCTCCTTGCAGGTTGCCCCCATCACAGAGCCTCCATAAATGGATACGGGTGCTCTGAGCCACCACATCAGAGATGTTGGACACCATTCTCAGAACTTCTCGTGTACTTCCTGGGCCTTCTGGGGTGTTGCAGTCTTGCTGGTACCAATGGCCCACACAGGCTCGCAGGCCAGGACGACCTTGCTCCAGTCCTTCACGTTATCTGCGATGACCTCTTTCTTCTCGAAAACAAACTTCTCAGTGATGCCACTTCCCTTTCAGCTAGCTTCTCCCCAGTGCAAGCGATTACTCTGAGTCCCTTTGCCAGAGCATGGGCCACTTTCTGCCCAATCAGCTTATCTGACTCCCCAAAGACATGCCTACTCTCTGAGTGCCCCAGGACCCTCGATTGGCTTTGCAGTCTTTGATCATGCCAGGGCTGATCTCCCAAGTAAAGGCCCCGTTAGTTACTTTGTAGCAGTTCTGCGCAGCCACAGCAATCTTGGGCTCTAGCTTCTGGGGCAAAGTCGGTATAGGCAGTGGGGAGAGTGCAAACCACCTCAGTGTTGGCCGGCACCTTGGCCGCCTTCAGAGTGCGGATGAGCTCCCCCAGGCTCTTCTTCCGTCGGTTCATCTTCCAGTTCCCCCCAACGAACTTCCTGGAGGTCGCCATGGCGCTGGAGCTGAGGTGCTGAAGGTCAGCGTCAGCCTTCAGTGATTTTCTAGGTTGGGGATTATAGGTTTTATGATATTCTAAAAGGTATCATGTTAAAAAAAATGTAAGAACCTGTGTTGTGAGATTAGTATGGGCAAAAGCTTAAGGTTCATTTCTCTTGAAAAGTTGAATTGCTTCCTCACAGCAGATACTAAAAATTTATTACACATCATGGTTTTCTTTATTTTTAGCCACTAGGAAGCTCAGAGTCCAGCTAATGCTTATTCATAATAACCATATTTGTCTTTAAGTCTGGCTTATTTTCTTCCTTCTCACACTCTCTTTTTTTGAATTCTTTTAAATTGTTATTCTATAGAACATATGTGGAGTTTTATAGGCATCTGCTATTTTAGCCTACTCTAATACATGAATAATAATGATCAGTCTTGACATGTTTTACATTTTAGAACCTTAAATTATAAAGAAAAAATTTTTTATATCTTAATCTATATACTAATTAAAAAATACATTTTTAAATTGCCTTTCTGAGCTTGGTTGGAAGACTCATTGTAAACCAAACATGACAGGCTGTTTGACAGAATTGTAATTAATGAATGTTGGCCAGAAACCTCCTCTAGCTACTTCCTTACCTGGCTCCCATTTTGCTTCTGTGGCTCTCATGCTGATTGGTGCTGTCTCCCCTGCCTCTTACCTTGTTTATCCCGTTGCTTTTCAATTCTAACTGTGCACATCTTTGCTGGAGAATTTGACACAAGCTCCCTGTGCTTTCCCCTCATTTGCGGGTTTGTACACATGTGTAGGATTCATTCTGTTTTCCTCCAAATCTGCAAAGCAAGGCAGGAAAGTGTCTTCAGTTGGGCCTTTCTTCACTCTACCTGAATGAGACCCAGGTGCAGTAGAGGAGAAATATGAGGTGTAGAGAAAACAATCAAAAGAAAAAGAGGAGACACATTAGTTTAAAATGTGGGTAAAAAAGGCAGGTGAATTTTTAATAAACATTAGAAAAGAAGATGTTTATTAAACAAATGATCCCAAAGGCAAAAATAAAAGAAATAAGCTAATGTTTAAGGAAAACAAGTAAAGTGAGAATGTGTGAGAAACGATAGAGAATAAGAAGGGATTTACGAGTAGACAGATAATAGTATGCAGTAGCTGAGGGAAGGCTGGATGTGGATATTGTGCTCAGTATGGAAATAAGTCAGACAAATATGGGCATGCCAGAAAGTTCATGATTCTGTGCTTATATTATTTTAATTATATTTTTAAAGTCCCTGGAGCTTTTGCTCCTTTACCATTGGGTCTGTAGTGTAGAAAATGAAATTCTAATCATTGTCATTGAAAGTGAATTAAGCCCATTTCTTCCCTCATTCTACTTTCTTTATATCAACCAAATTATCTATTACACTTTGGTGTTGTTTATCTTTCTTAATGTAAAAAGAAAGCAATGCACAAAAATACGAACACCTGTTGTACAGGCAGTGGAACCAAGTAAGAGACTTCAGGGACCTAAAATTAAATTTGTTAAAGCAACTTAATAGTAATATAAAAAATCTTTTATATTTGCTAATGGGAAATTGGCTGTACAGGCATTTTAAAGGTGGTAAAACCAAAGGCTTCTGTAGGGTATTAGAGTAAGTTAACAGCTTTGCTTGGCTGAGTGATTCAGAAAGTCTACAAAGAAAGCAGTGATACATTTGGGTGTGCCTGACATTCTCCATTAGGACAAACATGAAATATGTGTTATTTGCTGACTTAATATTCAAAGAAATACTATGTTAATAATACTAAAAGTAACTTTTTTTCTCTTGGCATGCTCACATGTAGAATATGAAATTGCTTTTTGAGGAGTTAAAGGAATACATAATTGAACTTGGATTAGAGAAGGTTCATATGTTTCTGCACAGTTCCAATGTTGACATAGGACAGTGCTCATTTAATTTGCTCAACATATCTGTACATTTAATTTACAGTTAAGTACATTGATATCTATGTTGTAACGTTATTTTACTTATTTAATGAATAAAGTATTATTTTTTTCCTTTTCAAAAGAATATTACCACCTTGTTTGACTTTGAAAGTCACTTCCCAGAAGCTAATTTTCTCAAAAGCAAGGGAAGACTATCTCTCAGGAATCTTTGCTCAACAGTTTTGGGATGATATAAAGGATTTTGTTTTACCATTTCTATTGCATCATTGTACACTGACAGGTCATTGAGCACACTTGGGTGATTCAATTTTGTACAGAGGGTATTATGAGAAAAATGATCCCAAATTATTTTTCAAACTCATGTTTTCTGTTATCAATGTAACATTATATTTTACCAACTTTTGTTTGCTGTAATTTTGTACCATGTATAGAAATAGGGGTATAAGTAATGAATGTTTTAGTTTGATCCAGCAGTAAGTAAGTATATTTGCTGAGGGCAACCCAAGTAATTGGCTCACTGCATTCCTGAAGCTTATCTTATCAAACAGATATCAGACACTGCTGAAAGATGGAGGTGGAGGGAACTATCCCTGTTACTCGAAGATTTGTCATAGAAAGAGGCTTTGTCTAAGCAAAGAAGGAAACTCTGTCATTTCTTCTTAAGTTGCTGATCTAGTTTAAGAAGCAAAGTATATTTGCTGAAACTTATTTTTAAAAAAAGTGCAGGCAGCTCTCCCACTGCTTGTTCCTTTTCTGTCCAGACATTTTTCCTAGAATGGAAAACTGAAATTAAATCACTTTTAATGGAACTTAGAGGTAATGGTGATTGAGAAAGAGAGCCAGATGAAGAGAAAGAAAATAGATAGCATTACAGGATGGAGGAAAAGAAGGATAAGAATAGGGAGAAGGTAATACTTAAATTTCTATTATAAAAGGAAAGTAGCAAGTGTCAAACAATCTCTCTCTACTGTAAATAGAAACCATAGAAACAGATATTCACCTGCTCGCTATTTATTTACGGGTAGTTGTTGCAACAACTGAGTACTTGTTAGCCAGCAATGTTGAAAAAAAAGTGAGTGCAGTAGTGATTAAGGAAAACGTTTAAGAATTAATTCTACTAATAAGCCAATGAGTTGATAGTTTGATTTTAAGGAATAGCTACATACAGCGTATGACAATTTTCCTTGCTTCTTCATTTTTTGATTTGGGCATTGGTTATATTTAATCCAAATTTACTAGCTGTCATGTGCTAATACTTTGCTAGTGAGTTATATTAGCAGACTATAACTTTGAAACAGAATTTTCATTCAATGTTATTACGTAGAGAGTTTCTGAATGTGTGTTTTTGATGGATATGTAGATGTGAGTAATGGTTGTAGTTATATTGGAAAAGAATAAGACTGTTAGAAATGTTATAATGTGGATGATCCTTAAGCATCCTGTGAGGTCAACTGAAATTGGATATTTGTGTACTGATTTCTTAGAACAATTTTTGACCTCTCTTGAGGTCACCACTATAACTTAAATTCTCATTAGTAAAGAATTAAATCATTTGTCAGGACTAAGTTCTTCTTGGAAGGCCAAGCAGCAGCAAACAAAATCAGTATTCTTAACTCTTAAAAACAACGCTTGACTCTACTTCCCCTCTGATTACTGCACACGAATCTCTACTATATAGCAAAACTCTGAAAAAGTTGCCTATACTCAGGGTCCTATTTTTTTCTTCTCTCTCTGATCCCCCACACCACAATTTTAAAATTTTTATTATAAAAAAGTTCAAACATATAAAAAGGATAGAGAACAGTACCACTAGGTACCATTACTCAACTTCAACAATTCTCAACATATGGCAATCTTATCTCATCCTTATATTAATATTTCTTCTTCCCACCCAATTTCCATCCACTATGGTGTTATTTTGAAGCAAATCCTAGGCATCATATAATTCTATCTGTAAATAATTTTGTAAGTATATCTAAAATACATGAAATACTCTTAATGAACAAACATAATTATAAAATAATCTCTCCTAAAAAATAAAATAACCCTAATATTACCAAGTATCCAGGGTAAAACTTCTCACAGTTTTATAGTTTGTTTTTTATGGTTTATTTGAATCCAGATTTTTGTGGGTATGTCTTGTGGTTGCTTGTGAGTCCACATAAAGTCCATTTGTTATAATTGATTTGTCTCTTTTAATCTTGTTTAATATGGATCTTCTCTCTGCGTTAGTTTCCTTGCAATTTATTTCCTTTGCCTGTGGAATTTCCCACAATCTGAATTTTGCTGACTCATTCTCTCTTGAACACACTGCAGTTAGACTATTCTTCTTACTACTCTGGGAAGCTGCTCTTATCAAAAGTCACCAAGGAAATTCCATATCGTAATACTTGTTGGTCAGCTCTTAGTCCTCATTTTAGTTATCTACATTATTTTTGATACATAATAATTATACATATTTATGGTGTACATGTGATATTTTGATTCATGCATACAATATATAATGATCAAGTCGGGGTAATTGGGATATCCATCACCTCAAACACTGATCAATTCTCCGTGTTGGGAGCATTCCAAATTCTCTCTTCTAGGTATTTTGAAATATGCAATTACTGTTAAGTATAGACATCATGCTGTACTATTAAACATTATAACTTATTCCTTCTGTCTAACTGTATGTTTTTACCCAGTAAACAACCTCTGTTCATCCCATGAATGCAGGAGCATTCATCCCATGACCTGGCCCCGCAAAGGTTACCCCAGCTCTGTCAACAGCAAATATCCTCCATTTGCTCAGGCCGAATACCTTGGAATCGTTCTGATTTCCATTTTCTTTTCATACCTCATTTCCAGACACATTGCTTTGCCTCTTCCTTCAGCAGTGTCCACAAATGAACCATCTCTCACCAGCTCCTGTCCCCATCTGGTCCAACCTACCTTGAACTTTCAATCTGGCTTAGAGTGATAGTTTCCTAACTGGCCTCTGTGATGTAACCCTTACCTTAAATACAGTCTATGCTCAACCCAGCAGGCAGAGTGACCCCATTAAAATGCCAAAAAATTAAAATTACTTCTCTGTTCAAAATCCTCCAGCAGTTTTCTCTCTGACTTAGAGTTGACTTCTGAGTCTCCTTGCAGGGCCTTTCAAGGCCCTAATTATCTCTCATTTACACCATCACTTCTCTGACTTAATTCCTCATTTCTTTTTCCTTGGCTTCTTCCACTTCTGCCACAGGACTTTTATGAGGCAGAAAAGTAGACACCTAGTTGAAAAATGATTTTATAAAATTTGTTTAGAGCCTAGATTTTAAAATTTATTGTTCAATAAATTTGTACAAAATAAAGAGAAAAATAACTGGCTCAATTAGAATTTAAAAGCTGAAGAACTGGTCTCATAGATGTAATACCTTGCTCTATCCTGAACCACTGATCTATGGGCTTAGGACAAATTATCCCTAAGTAATTTATTTTTATATTAAAGGGAAAGTGTCTTTTTTGGTCCATGTATGTGTACATTTATCCTGAGGATATTGGTAAACATAGCCAGTTTTAAAGTCTATTGATATTGTGGTAATGACTATTATTCTTACTTAGATATTTGAATTGAAATGTAACCTTTTAATTAGCTTGTGCTGATGTTTCATCCTGCCTGGCAGTTCAAATTGATCTTATTAATAACTGGCTGCCTGTGATCCATCATAGAGTCTGGAGAACACAGTCTTTCTTGCTCAAGTATGCTGAGTGCAAGAAGGGACAATCTGAGAGGTGAAAATAGTCTCTAGTATTTCTAAAAATGACAACAAAAGGCTACGTTATTAATAAACAGATTTCTAGATTTCAGTCCTAGGCATTTCACAACCCTTGATTGCATTTGCTTTTCTCTTATTTCCATAATTTAAAAATTTTTATTTTTATTTTTTTGCTTATCACAGGCATGAATTCCATTATTTATGTCTGCAAAGAAGAATTTTTTTAATGAATTGAATGCAATATATACACACCCCAAAAAAGCTGTAAACATGGAAAAACAATGTGAATCAATTCTGCGGTGCTATTACATAAAATTACTCTCTGCATCTCAAAGATGTTTCTCCCTCCCTCAAGAAATTAAACATGGCCATGAAATATAAATGAATATGTATTTGCAGTAATGCTACTTGACATTTTAGTTGTAATTAACAGAACTTCCAATATTAACCAACATTAATTAACAATGTAAAGTGTTTAAACATGGATTGTAATAACAATGCTGAGTGGATTATGCACATTCATCAATACACCACATGTTTGTTAAAGATTTCTCTTCAAATTCTGTATTATTAAGCAAACTTATTAAACCTGCCATGTGAATCTTGATTTTTTTTCTCTATACTTATTCTGTAATGATCACTCCTTCCTTAGGATATCGTGGTGTTGGGGATAGGCTGCATGTTTGCCTCTTTTTATCTTAAATGTCAATCTTTTCTCATTTACATGTAAGAGAACATTGTAAGAAAAGCATCTCTTTTTTCTCATGTGTTGCAGATAATGTTTTTCAGTTTTAGCTTGCCTTTTGACTTTTATTATGTTTTTTTGCTACACAAAATTTTAAAAATATTTCTATAATATTGCCTATTAGTCTTTCACTTTATGATTTTTACCTGTGTTGATCTTCTCAGAAAAAATTTATTGTCTTCCATGTGCTCCATATGTGGATGAATCTGAGAAATGATACACAGTTCCTGACCCTGTAGGCCTTAGAATACAATGAGGGATTCATTTTATTAGGAAGGAACCTTATGTTGGAAATTTTTCTACAGCTTCCTCTTGTGTATATTTTGGATATGAATTTAGTTATAATGTCAGAATTATGGTGACAGTCTGTTAGAATGAAGTAATGAGAAATAATTGTAAGTCTGGGAAAATCTTTTAGGAATTTAAAAATATCTGAGAGTTTGGGACAGTTTTCATGTGAATGATCATATTGTTTCTCAAAATAAATTTTATTCCTAATCTGCTGTTTCATATTTCATAGATAAATTGGTTAAAGATAACCAAGACATGGTGTATTTTTATAACACTTTCATCTTTTAAGAAACAAATTGAAAGAAACCTAACTGAATCTATTTCTAGCTGATCTTGATGTAATTTTGATGTCAGACTTGGGGTCACATGGCTTTGTGGGAGTCCATGGACTCTAATTCTGATTGGCTTAGATGTACACAGATCCATTGAGTTGATTTCTTACTCCAAATTGGGGTGATGTGGAGTTTGGAACATAAATTAAAAGTATTGTTGTGAATGTGTACTCATTTCTCTGCCATCCAAATTGTTCAATATCCACTTTAAATCTAACTTCCTGCATTACATCTCTTCTCAACCATTAGAGCTAGATGTGATTTTCCTCCTCTCTGAAATTCACTGAAGTATTTTTGGCACAAAGTAATATGTTATGTTATAATGACATTTTTGAATGTTACTAAAATATATTTTTCAGGTGATATATGTATAACAAATTTATTATACAAAAGTAAAATATCTTAGTTTTCATGTGCTTATGTTTTCTGCATGAAAGTAATCAGTGTACATATTCCACTTTTTTACTTCTATGCATTTTAAGGTGCTACCAAGTCTTCAGCTTAATTTTTCTAATTTTCATATTTCTGTCAGTGAATTAATCATAATTTAACCCTCATCTTAACAGTTAGCATTTAGACTTTCTTACACTTTTTATTTTTCTAATGTTTGAATAGCATAGCAACAAATTTCTTCCCATATAAAGATTTTTCCATGTTTTGCACGATTTTTTTAAGGATAGAGTCCAAGAATCTGAGTTACTGAGCCAAACAATGAATGATTTAAGGCTCTTACTGCTTATTGCCAAATATGTTTGTAAAGGATCCTACTGACTGCACAGCTTAAGGGCTTAGTCCCACAGGAGTGTCCTCTACTGCAGATACCAGCTACAATCCCCAGGTTGTGACCTTTGCTTCTGACCAACTAGCTATAAATTGGGTGCTTCCCATGACCCACTCTTGGGGTTTGATTAGTTTGCTCAAATGGCTCACAGAACTCAGGGAAACACGTTTACCAATGTATTCCAAAGGATATTGTAAAGGATACAGATGAACAGCCTGATGAAAGAGATTCACAGGGTGAGGTATGGGGAAAGCAATGAAGGGTTTCCACACCCTCCCCAAATGCACTACCCTCCAGACACATCCACATGTTCTTTTTTATGGAGGGTTTATCACGTGGGTATGATCAATTATTAGATCTCCAGCTCTTCCCTCCTCATGGCTTGTTCTTTCTGGTGACCAGCCCTGATTCAGAAGCCCACCATGTGTTACCCCATTAGAACAAAAGATGCTCCTATCACCCAGGAAATTCCAAAGGATTAGGAGCTTTGTGCCAGAGAGCTCCTAAAACTCTTATCATTTTCTGAGTGATAGGAGCGCTAGGTGCATATTTTATTTTAATATTTGGGAAATGATTTTGGCTGAGTTCTCGGATTCCCCAAAGTAAGTTGGCAAAACCACGAGTGGTCAGGCACACTGGACCAAGGGAATTAGCATTTTATGGGACACCTGAGGGATCATCCTCTCTCCCTTACCTCTGTCCCTGACTAAGGATCAAAAAGAAATTGAGAGGGTCTGAATTGTGGAGTGGCTGGCTCATTATAATCTCAAACTCTGTTCTACTATGAGGCCAGGAAAACACCTGTTTCAGATACCAACTCTGTACCACACAAATATGGATTATACCTTCTTCCGAGGGGTCTGTGGTTCATAAATAAAAACTGATCATTGTAGGCCATGAAGAAATTCAATTTCAAAGAGTAAGAATTTATACAGTACTTTCTGAGATGGCTAGAAAATAAATAGGATCTGGAATTAATAAAGTTAAACTAAAACAAACAAAAATACAAAATAATTGGAAAAAATTTTCCTTAAAAATCAGGTTAAAAAAGGGATTAAGGGCACAATATCAGAGTATTTTGATTTTTAGATAGATGATGATGAATGAAAGGACCTTCAGATGGAAAAGGGGTGACTGATAGATCTGGATTTGCATTCTAGCACTGTGGCTTGCTAATTTGACCTCAGAAAAGGCTTAAAACATCTCAGTTTCCTTGTGTAGGAAGTGATTGTAAGAGTGCTTCCCTTATAGGGTTGTTCTGTAGAATAGATGAATAGTTAATGTAAATAATTTGCACGGTGCCTGGCCCTTACTTTATGCAATAGAACAATACTGAATTAAATTGATGATTTAGGAAGCTTTTATTCTGAAGAGCAAAGAGAGAATAAAAAAATGAAAGTGAATTTGGTATGACTCACTACTACACAAGCAGTACCTAAATAGGTAGGTGCTCAATA
Source organism: Homo sapiens (assembly GCF_000001405.40). Classification (NCBI taxonomy): domain Eukaryota; kingdom Metazoa; phylum Chordata; class Mammalia; order Primates; family Hominidae; genus Homo; species Homo sapiens. Next base: position 116,029,470 of record NC_000006.12, on the reverse strand, counting down.
AATATGTATAAAATAAATAAGAGATTATTGAACTTAAACCTTAAGGCTGTAGTATCTCTCATAGCACTTAATCCATTGCATCATCATTATCTGAGCATGATTTTAGGCCCTGGGGTTACAGCAGTGTACAAAACAGACAAAAATCCCTATTCTCAAGTTGTTTAATTCTAGTGGGGAGGCAGAAAATAAACAAAACAAAGAAGTAAGTTATAGACTATATTAGAAGATGAGAAGCATTTTTGAGAAAATTAGAAGGAGAAATAAGCAGTGTGAGATGAGTGGTGTCACTATTTTAAATGGGATAGTTAGGGAAGATCTCACAGAGGTGGTGAATTGAAGGATCTAGTGAAGAGCGTTCCAGGCAGAGGAAAGAGAAGGTGAAAAGTCCCTGAGGAAGGAGCTTGCTAACTGTGCCCAGGAACATGGAGGAGCTTGGTGTGGCTGGAGCAGAGTGAGCAAAACAGAATGGCAGGTCCCACATCTCAACTGTCTGCTCAGTGAGGGCAGGAACTGGAAGTTTCCTCTTTCCTTCCAATGACAACATAAGGCTAAGCATTGTAGGATTCATGACATAAATGTTCTCTGCCTAAATATATTGATAAGTGAATTACTGAATGATATGAGTTGAAGTATGTCCCCCCAAAGTCTTTATGTGGAAGTCCCCAACCGCCTTTACCCTCAGAATGTGACCTGATTTGGAATAGAGACATTGCAGATCTAGTTAGTTAGGAGGAGACCATACGGGCATAGGATGGAGCCCTAATATGTACTTATATAAAGGGGAAATTTGGAGACTCAGACATACACACAGGAAGAATGCTATGTGAATGTGAGGCAGAGATTGGAGTGATGTATCTACAAATTAAGGGATGCCAAAGACTGCCAACAAAACACCAGAAGCTAGGAGAGAGCCATGGAACAGATTTTCCCTCACTGACCGCAGAAGGAGCTAACATGCTGACATGTTGGCCTCAGACTTGTAACCTTGAGAGCTGTAGGAAGAAGATACATTCCTGCTAAGCTAACCCATTTGTAGTGCTTTGTTACAGCAGTGCTAGCTGACTAACACACTGAATGAATGTTTTCTTTTGATGGAGTCCACACCCTATGTTAAGAAAAAAACATCCAGTTTTTAAATAATCAAAAGACTGAAATTTTATTAGATAAAAATGCAATTAGTCAAGGAACATATGTAGAAAATTTAAATTTATTAGTATAGGAAATTTTTAAAAATAAATTGTGATTTCCTGTCAGAAAAAATACTGATGGTACTGAGTAGTGATAAGGGTTTTGTGACAGTATAACCAGTTAACATCAAAACTGAGTTAAATTGCAGAAAACCCAGTTGGTGTCTGCTGGTGAAATGCTTGGTGTGTGGGGAAAACCTCCTACACATCTGGTATCAGAAGTGGTGTATTTTATTGAGTGTTGACTGTGCAGTAAAAGGAGTCAGTTTCTACCTACCATATAGGCACTTATTATGAGCATTTTAATGACTCAGTTTTCTTTTCCTGTAGATACTGGATAGCTTCTCCTCTGAACCCTGACTTTGTCTCTGAACAGTTCCTCCCTTCCCTTTGGCCAGCATCTCTGACTGTCCTGTCCACTCCTATATATCAGCCTTTTTTTTTTTAAACTCAAAGCTCATGTTTCATTTTGCATTTTTCTTTTAATGTCTTTTATAATGATTTTTCTAATCATATTATTTTTTCTTCTTTAAGCCCTTTTATAATTTTTGTTTATTGAATCTGTTGTAGACCTATAGGACTGGATTACAAATGTTCTTCTTTCCCTTTTACTTTTGAATAGTTCTTACTTTATGCTATTTTTATTTATCCTATTTTGTGCGTATTAACTATTTGTGAATTATGAATTATCAGTTATAATGACCTTTTATAATTTGATGATTTTAGAAAAACTCCAAACTCCAATTTTTCTAAATTTACATTGTTGTGCCTAGTTTTTAAAAAGTTAAATTGAAAAAAATTTATCTGACACTGTACTTTGATAATTTCTGTATCTTTTCACCTTTGGTGACTTGATAAGAAATATACACTCAGATTCGATTTTTTAAACCAGTCTTAAATTCTATGACTTGATGGGAGCATTTAGGCCACTTATATTCACTATTATAAGTATTTTCTTCTGTCAACCTATTTGACAGTTTAAAAAATTATGCTGTCTTGTCTCTTTTCTGTTAAGGCTGTTTATTTGCGACTATGTTTTTGTTTTGTTCTAGTAGTATGATGGGAGGAAGTTATTTCATGTTAAAGAATAGCAGTTTGAACATTGTTGGATGATTTAAATATGCTCTCTCATTAGCCCTCAAAATCACTTTGTGAAGTAATTAGTAACAATTACTTTGAATTCATCTAACAGTTTTCTAACACATCTAACACATCATTCCTAATGCATTTAACAGTTTAGGATGGCCCACAGGCAACTCTTTAAGACCTGATCCTATTCCTGCAGGAACATGACAAGTTATACATAAAGCAATAGCCAATACTTCAGAGATTTATTATAAATTCCTTATCATCTCTTCCCTACTTTATACCTTATTCCATGCCCAATTTTGACACATCTTTCTCCACTATTCAGTTTGCCCCGTTTTGGTATTCAGCTGATGATTTCTTCAGGTGTTGGTTACTGGCATCATTCACTGATGCTACATTTCCTTCCTTCTGGTAAATTCTTTGTAGAATTAGTAAGTCACCTTTTGGCTTCTCAAAGCCTTTTGTTGTGAACAAAGCAACCAGCTCTCTCTAACTTGGATCCCAAAGAATTTGGCTCCTTGAAAGACATCTTATCCACATCCCTGACATTTTATCATCAGTTAAAAAAAAAACAAAACCTAATGGTGGGTGGGCAGGTGGGTGTGTTACACGTGTCTTTCCTTCCTTCCTTCCTTCCTTCCTTCCTTCCTTCTTTCCTCCCTTCCCCCCTCCCTCCCTCCCTCCTTCCTTCCTTCCTTCCTTCCTGGTTCAACTTATGTTTTTCTATTATGAATCATACTTTTGGTGTCACGTCTAGGAACTCTTTGCCTAGCCGGAGATCCTGAAGGGTTTTGCCTTGCTTTTTACATTAGTACAATTTGATTAGAGAATTATTTGCTGCACACTTCTCAACTGAAATCAGAAGTCTTGATTCTAAAGTTCAAAACTATGTAAATGAATAAATGGATGACAGACTTAGCCATAGCGTATATAGCTAGAGTCTTTCCTTTTAAAAAATATTTTTATGGCTTTTAGCATTATAGAAACACAAAGTTCCTCTTCTATGGGTACTGTCATGAAGGAGGGAGGAGTATGGAAAGATAAGGCCCCTGTTCTCTGTGCTTTATTGAGTTATTGGTAGATTACTCTAGAGTTATTGGTAGATTACTTTTATAGAGTTATTGGTAGAATCCAATTGAAATGTCAAGGAGATATTAAGGTGCTGAATTTTTTTCCATTCAATTCTACTTTACTCTTTGCAATAACCCTGTGAAGAATGTACTATTATTACCCCCTTTTTAACTCAGATGAGTTTCCTCATCTCAGTTTAACTCAGATGAGGAAACTGAGGCCAGAGGCCATGCAACATATGGAATATACTCCTTTACAGTGAGTAAATGGCAAACTTTGGATTCAACATAAACAGAGAACTATAGCTTGTTTTCCCAACAGTATTTATTATTCTGTATTGTGGAACCAATGACAGATAACTCATATTATTAACAGAGGATTATAACACACACATATTAGTAATAGGAAGGACATTGGTAAGAAGTAGGCTATAACAAATAAAGATATAACCACATATGTTGGGTGCTTTTAGGTCTTCTAATAAGTCTAGTTTTGTAAAAGGTCAAAATGACAAGAATGTGGTTTCAAGCTTTATCATATCTGGAAAAGAGTTGTTTAATTTGAAAACATATTTATGGTCTAGGTATAAGTTCATGATGATTTCACCATCAGTGGCAGGAATTTCCTTTTACTGCTGAAATTCAATAGAATATTTCATAGTCAAATACAGAGTAGATTCCATATATAGATTTTAAGATAAAGTTTTAGTCATTTTTTGAATAAAGTGAAAGCAAACAATACATTTTTGTTTACTTTTCAATCTGAATATATCTTTTCCAAAAACCTCAGCTAATTGGGAGCATAACTTTTCATAACAAATATTGCCAATTAGATATTTACTTTCTGGATTCCAGAATTAGAGCTTCATCCAGCTGGTCCTCTGCAATGTGTGGCTATGTCTACACCTTTCTAAACAAAGAAGCAATGGCAGTCTATGTGGTATCTTTTGACAGATCTTCTGGGGCCTCACTAATTCTAATTTCGTCCTTTCATGGGGCCTGCAATTCTTTCTATTCTTTGCTTTAAAGCCCTCTCTCCAGAAGACCTTTTTTAAAAAGGTAAGACATTTATGCAGCCAAAAAACACATGAAAAAATGCTCACCATCACTGGCCATCAGAGAAATGCAAATCAAAACCACAATGAGATATCATCTCACACCAGTTAGAATGGCAATCATTAAAAAGTCAGGAAACAACAGGTGCTGGAGAGGATGTGGAGAAATAGGAACACTTTTATACTGTTGGTGGGACTGTAAACTAGTTCAACCATTGTGGAAGTCAGTGTGGTGATTCCTCAGGGATCTAGAACTGGAAATACCATTTGACCCAGCCATCCCATTACTGGGTATATACCCAAAGGACTATAAATCATGCTGCTATAAAGACACATGCACACGTATGTTTATTGTGGCACTGTTCACAATAGCAAAGACTTGGAACCGACCCAAATGTCCAACAATGATAGACTGGATTAAGAAAATGTGGCACATATACACCATGGAATACTATGCAGCCATAAAAAATGATGAGTTCATGTCCTTTGTAGGGACATGGATGAAGTTGGAAATCATCATTCTCAGTAAACTATCGCAAGAACAAAAAACCAAACACCGCATATTCTCACTCATAGGTGGGAATTGAACAATGAGAACACATGGACACAAGAAGGGGAACATCACATTCTGGGGACTGTTGTGGGGTGTGGGGAGGGGGGAGGGATAGCATTGGGAGATATACCTAATGCTAGATGACGAGTTAGTGGGTGCAGCGCACCAGCATGTCACATGTATACATATGTAACTAACCTGCACATTGTGCACATGTACCCTAAAACTTAAAGTATAATAATAATAATTAAAAAAATGAAAGAAAAAGGAAAAAATAAGTAAATAAATAAATAAAAACATAAGTATCTTATCAGGAAAGCAGATATTCTCCCCAAGTAACTCACGTCATTTCCATACCCTCCTTGATGGTAAGGAAGCAGGAGCCAGGAAAGTTATATTCACATGGGTCAGTCTAATGTGTGTGTGTGTGTGTGTGTGTGTGTGTGTGTGTGTGTGTGTAAGTTCTCAGGATTCTATAGCAGCAGACACAAACTGTATGAAAAGATTTCTGTGATCAAAGTTTTCAGTGGAATATTTTTTTTTCAAAAGCCAACTAGTTATTTTCAAGTGTAACTAAGAAAATGTTAGGGCTATAAAATTAAATGTAGCTTTGAAAAATTATTCTTTCTTACGTACAGTTTACACACAGTAAAATAACAGATTTTAAGCTTACATTTCAATGGAATTTGATAAATGTATATCAAATAACACAACAATAATGATGTAGAACATTTCTTGGTTATATAGATGAGAGGTTTGTATGTTGCCCAGGCTGGCTTCGAACGCCTAAACCTCGCCTCCTTATGCACCAGGACAACAGGTCTGAGCCACCGCTGCTCCCAATGTAGAACATTTCTATTACCTCAGGAAATTCCATATCCCTTTCCAGATACTCTCCCTTTCCCTGCCCCTGTAATTCCATCACCATAGCTTAGTTTTGCCTATGCTGGCACTTCATATAAATGCAATCATATATCTACTTTTCTGTGTCTTGCTTCTTTGGCTTGACATAATGGTTTTGAGGCTCAATCATATTGTTGTATGTATCATTAGTTTGCTGATTTTTGATTCTGAGTACCAGTTGACTATATTGTAATTTGTTTCTCCATTCTGTTGTTGATGAACATTTTGGCTGCTTCCCATTTTTGTCTATTACAAACAAAACTCATATTAACATTTTTGTGCAAGTCTACTTGTGGCCATATGCTTTCATTTTTCTTAAGTAAATACCCAAGAGTGGAATTGCTGCATCATAGAGTCAATGTATGTTTAACTTTATAAGATATTGCCAAATATTTCTCCAAAGGCCTTGTACTATTTTGACTTTACATATGAGAGATGCTCCACATCTTTGCCAATATTTGGTATTGTTAGTTTTTTTGTTAGCTATTCTATTTGTTATGAATTGCCATCTCACGTTGGTTTTAATTTGCATTTCCTTGATGACTAATGATGTTGAGCACATTTTCCTGTGCTTATTAGCCAACTTCATATTTCCTTTTGTGAAGTGTCTCTTTAAGTCTTCTGCCCATTTAAAAATTCAACATCTGGACATACTTGGAGTTCGTTTTTGTTGACTGCTTTTTTGCCTGAGTATGGGTTACTCTTCAGTTTCTTTGCTATGCTGCTATTTCTGTGATTGGATATAGGACATTGTTGTAGCTACTCTAGATTCTGTCACATTCTTTGAAAATTATTATTTTTTTGTTTTATTAGATAATTAAGTTGCCTGAATCTAACTGCAGACTTTGTCTGCATCCGTGTATATAAAACTGCTTGTAGCTCTTGTCTGTTCTTAGTTTACCATTGAGTATGATGTTAGGTGAAGGGTTTATATTGTTGCCCCTTTTCAGAATGAGAAAGTTTTCTTCTATTTCAACTTTGCTAAGTGTTTTTGTTTTTAAATCATGAATAGATGTTGACTTTTTCAAAAAGATTTTTCTGCATCTATTGAGCGGCTGATTATATAGTTTTTCTTTTTCAATTCATCAACATGGTCAATTACAACTGATTTTCAAATAACCTTCTAAATGGGATAAATCCCATTTGGTTGTGATATATTTTTGATGAATTTGATTTACCAGTATATTTTAAGGGGTTGCAAATCAGTGTTCATAAGAGATATTCATCTGTAGTTTCCTTTTCTTGGAAAAAGATGATTCTCTATGATTTTGGTATCAGGGTAACTTTGTGTCATAAAACAAATTGGAAAACATTTTTTATTTCTGTATTTTCTGAAAGAGTTTATGTGTAAAACTGACATTATTTCTTCCTTAAATTTTGGTAGAATTCACTTGTGAAGCCCTGAGGGCATGGAGTTTTCTCTGTGCGAAGGTTTTAAATTATGAATGTAATTTCTTTAAAAAATATAGGGTTATTAATATTTTCTGTTTCTTCTTGTGTTATTTTGGGTACTTTATATGTATTGGGGAACCTGTCGATTTCATCTTAGTTGTCAAATTTATTGTCCTATGGTTGTTAACATTTTTTTTATTAATTTAATATATGTGAGAATCTGTGATGGTCTCCTCTTTAATTGCTGATATTGATAAATTATTTTTGATTTTTTTCTTGAACAATCTTGTTAGAGCCTTATGACTTTTATTAATCTTCCCAAAAATATCAATTTTTGTCTTTGTGCATTCTTCCCATGGTTTGGTTTTCCTTTGACCATTTTTTACTGTTGTCTTTACTATTTCTTTCCTTCTATGTCTTCTAGGTTTAATTTGTTCTTTTTTCAAAACATGGATTGAAAGGGAATATATGGCTTTGAAAAAGCAATAGAAAGATTTGCATTAGGGCATGCTAAGAAAATTTATGCAGATTTCTTAATCATCTTATTTTTGTTATTAAGAGATTTTAAAGTGACATGACCTTTGCTGTAAATTTAATTTTAGTTAATTACATACAATGGGCATGAAGACTGCAGGCAGCATAAAGAAATCATAAGGCAGAAAATCCTTGTTCTCTGCTTGTCAAGTCAAACTCCTACTAATAGCACTGTAATTTGAAGGTGGAAGTATAGTTATGTATTCCAGGCAATTATACTGTATCACTCTTTTTACTCATAACCTTTGAATGATCAACCATTATAGGTGAAATTTTGTCTGCACCATTTGACATATTGATCATATATGTCAATTATGAAACGTTTCCTCATGATACATTTCTCTTAAAATATATTTCTCCAATTATCTGACATCAAAATGATGTATGGCGTGCTTAGGAAGCTTATATTTTGTGACCCTTCTTTTCTTTTTATACTGGTCTACGTTTGTGTTTTTCCAACTGTAATGTAAACTTGTAAGCAAGCATGGTCTTTTTTTTTTTTATTCTTTCAGTGCATAATAGGCCTCCATAAATATTTATTTTTTCAATATATTTTTAAAATGTTTCTCAGCATTTAAAACATTTATAATTCATCTTTTTAGTTTCTAAAGAACAGAAAGAACTTGATTTTAAAAGTTAATGGATCATAAAAATATTACATTTCAAAGCAAACATGAAACCACTGAACTTTTATTAGTCCTTTTTTTTACTTCAATTTCCCAACTGAGGTTTAGAAACCAACCACAGTTTAGAAATCTGTATTCATATCAAAAGTAAACCACAAGAAATACAATTAGAAAAATTATAATTGTTGCAGCTGGATGTTGGGTAAAGTGGTTATACTATTGTCTCTACTTTGGAATATATTTGAAAAGTTTTATGAGGCAAAGTTAAAAAATGCCTATTATAAGCACATGTATGGAAACTCAAGGAGTTGGAAAAATTGTGTCTTGTCATTGCGATTTACTGTTTACAAAAATAGTTCTGAACACAGGTGAATCTAGAGAGCCTATAGAATATGTAATTTGGAGAGGTAGCTCTCTTAAGGAAAAATGATACAAAATGATGTTTGCAGAATTTGTTGAGAAAAGGAATATTGGCCCAGTGCAGTGGCTCACGTCTGTAATCCCAACACTTTGGGAAGCTGAGGTGGGTGGATCACCTGAGGTCAGGAGTTCAAACCAGCCTGGCCAACATGGTGAAACCCCATCTCTACTAAAAATACAAAATTAGCTGGATGTGGTGGCGTGTGCCTGTAATCCTAGCTACTCGGGAGGCTGAGGCAGGAGAATCACTTGAACCCAGGAGGTGGAGGTTGCAGTGAGCCAAGATCATGCCATTGCACTCAAGCCTGGGCGTCCGAGCAAAACTCCAAAAAAAAACAAAAAACAAAAAAAAGGAATATTGATCTAGGACAAAAGAAGAGATCACTTTAAATTATTTAGAGAATAATAAAATATTAATGAGCTGTCTTTTATAAATTTTTTTATGGTAGTCTTTGTCTTCATTCTCTTTGGCTCTTCATGTCACAATGATTTTGTAATACTGTTTTCTATAGATGGAATAAATCATAATTTGGTTTTACTTTTGAAATGTTTGATCAATTTTTTTGTTGTTGATAGTTTAGAAAAGTTTCTTTAAGATCATAATTTATTATTGGTAATAGCTGCACATTTAGGATTGCAAATAAATATTTATTTGAATCTCATTTTGCTTTCTGTTTTCAAATTTTAATCCTTATGCAACCAAGCCTACCTCTAAATAACAAATAGGAGTTAATGTTTAACTTCATAAACAGATATTCTGTTATTCTACAGGAACATTTTTAGAACCTGAAGTTTGGGTCTTAATAAGTCATAACTATTGGCTATTTCTGACCCACTCTGTAGAGTGGTATTATTATTTGAGGACAAGTCCATACTCCCCACTTTCTATTCTGCACAATTTTAGTGAAGTCACATGTAACTGCTTTGCACATCTGCCAACACACTGGCTCTGCTTATTATTTCTGCATGACAAATCATGCAATTTCTCTCATTTCTAGTTCCCTTTTCCACAAAGTGGGGATTTTGAAGCACTTGCTCTGACTATCCCCAAGAGTTGCCTTGAGAATAAGTGCCATATTCTAGGTGATGGCACTCAATTATAAAGTGGAATCCAAATGTTATTCTTTACATGATTGTTATAATTGTCATCGTCGTCATAGGATTGTGATCATCTGATTGGCTATGAGGTTATTCATTACTGGTAAAAGTGGACTTGTTCTTTTGCTCTCTGTACCAAATCTTCAGTATATTCTCTCTATATTCTTGTCCTACGTTTTGAAATTATTTGGTCAGCTTTTTAACTTTCAAGTGGAAGACTCACATCCTCAAATAATCATCTGTTTATTCATTCAACAGTATGAATGCAAGTTTATTTAATACCATGTGTTGTGCTAGGCTCTTGGAATTTCAGTGATAAGTAAAAGATAAGGTTTCCACTCTCTTGAGCTTACATGTGTAATGGGAAGTAGGAATTAATCAAATAATACCAAAAACAAAGTAAGCTAAGGAAAGAGCTATGAAGGAAAGGAACAAGGTGCTCAGACTCATTTGATCTGTAGAGGAAGGCTTTCCTACCACAAGCCCCTTGCCTTGCCATCCAAAGAATGCACTGGAGATAAGTCAGAGGGGAGCTGGCTTGTGCAATGAATCTATTATCATTCACCTTCAGAGAAATATGCTCCTCAAGCTTACTTGAAGCTCTAATTCTAAGGCTTTAGGATGTTCCTTTACTGTGCCCTCTTTCCAACAGCAGGTCTCTTCAAATCTATAAGATTTTAAAATCCTTTCCTGGGTCACAGTGAACAGGTCAGATTTTATTATGCTCTGAGTATTTCAATGATTAAAAAAAAATTATCCCAGGCAAAGAGCATGGTGGAAATGTCTTTGTATCACTAAAATTCTGGAATAAAATTTTATTTAATTGCAATATGCTTACTAGTAAGGCAGTCATTGAGGCAGGGAATATTTCAGTTTCTCAAAACACATATTTGTATATAAATAGTTTACATGCTATTTACAAATAATATTTCCATTGTGTATTATTAGAGTATATCCTCTTATGAAAACACTTTGTAAGAGAGCAAACATTTTAGTCTACTTCAAGACACTTATAATTTTAATAAACTGAATTATTTAAAACACAAATATAACTGGAAGGACTCTGCCTTTCACCCTTACCCCAGGGTATAGGCTTGTTCTGGACAGCGAGAGGATGCATAATTCTGTTGCTACCATCTGCTATGGATAATGGTGTGAGAAGAGCTTTGCCTAAGGATTTGATGTGCTAAAGAAAATTCTGTTTTCAAAGCTCTGGCTGTTTGTGCTGCTGAGAATAAAGACATGGAATAGATGGGCCTTAATTGAGCAGAACAATTTAAGAAGTGCTGGGGTATACAGAGGGAGACCCAGAATCTAGTTTGGAGTAAGGGTTGGGTAGGAAATCAAACTGCTTTGCATACAGAAACATGGAGAATTTTGTTGTAAAATCCCTGGCACAGAGAAAGGAGGAAGAGGAGTGGTTCCTCAGCAACCTATTAGGGGGCCCTAGACATAAGGGAAAAAGTTTTGGGAAATTCCCTCTTCAGCAGAAAGGACATTAAATTTCAATGAACAGAAATTTCTGGTATCTGTTTGAACTTGTTTTCTGCTCTGTATTGTACTTAAAGCTTTGCTCTTCACAAATTTTATACAGCATTTGGATTGAATTTGTAATGTTTTGTAAGGGTTGAAAATAAAGAAGTGGGGTCCAGTGTGAGGCAGTGTGAGGCAGAGTGGACTGGAGAGAAAAAGGTGCAAGGTGGGCTATGGCAGGATGACTCAGGATTTAGGAGAAGATGTTAAGAGAAAGTCCCCCTCTTCTAGAAACAGCTGTGTTTTTCAAATTGTAGTACCTTGGTTACCTGCCTCTGAATTGCCTGTGGCACTTGGGAACCTACAGCATCCTGAGCTCTACCTCCGACCTTCTTAGACTATTTGCCTTGTACACACTTCCTGGGACAGTCTTCAGAAACTGGAGTTTGAGAACTGAGGCCCTAGAGAAGGTTAATCCTTAGGTAGTGATAAAAGAAAAACCTCGACAAATTAAACTTAGCAGAGTTTAACTGGGCAAAGAACTGTTGGCAAATCAGGCAGTCTCCTGAGCCAGAGTGTGCTCAGACAGAGTCCAGCTGGTGGAAAGGGACTTATGGAGAGAAAAAGAAAAGCGATGTAGAAAAATTGAAAAGAGGTACAGAAACAGCTGGATTGGTTACAGCTCGGTGTTTGCCTTATTTTGAACAGGGTTTGAACAGTTGGCCACCTTTGGTTGCTCAAAACTTGGTGATTGGCACAAGAGTAGGTTACAGTCTGTTTGCACATCCATTTAGGTTGCAGTTCACTGTGTACAGAGAAACCTTTAGGCTGAACTTAAAACGTGTAAGGAGACAGCTTTCTGCTTGATTTAACAGTAACACGGGTGTGTGTTGGGAGGTAGGGAGGTGGGGGCTCTTTCTTCTCTCAGTCTGCCTTTTTCCACAACAGTTCTGAGGAGTAAGCTTGTAATGTATTTGTGCAACTGCTTCTTTCTGTAATTCTAAGCAGGAGCAAGCAGTAAACTAATTTTCAGATTTCAGAAAAGTCCATCAGTGCAGGCAGAGCCTTCCTTTTGTTTCCTGACAAATAGTTTGTTGACACTGAAAACAAAAGATGTGTTTTCTGGCACTGTTTCAGGCTTTCTTTTTGAGAACAAGCTGCTCTGTGGATGTGTTCAGTTTCTACTATTTCAAAGTCCAGTGGGTGGCATTTACATGGGTTTTAAACTATCTTTAGTTATTAACATTGGTGTTATTATTGGTAATTATTCATGATAGTAATGCTTAGTGAGTATCTGGGTATACAGGGCTAAATTATTAAAAAGAAAGAAAGAAAGAAAGAATGAAGGAAGAAAGAAAGAGAACGTGTGTGCTTGTTCTGACCTGTAGCAGACCAGGTCTCACACCTTGACTCCCTGGGGGCACCTGCTTCATTTTAATCCCCCCAAAGCAGTAAAACTAGTACATATCTGTACATCCATGTTGGTATCTGCAGCTACACACACACACACAAACACACACACACATCCATCCACTCATTCACATATATGTGTGTGTGTCTCTGTGTCATGTATGGATTAAGATTAGACAGTATAGTTTTTAAAATTATTTTTTATTGGTACATAAAAGATGTACATATTCTCTGGGTACATGTGATAATTTGATACATTAATATAATCTGAATTGGAATATCCATTACCTTAACTATTTCTCTTTTCTTCATGCTAGGAACATTCAAATAAGGAACAGTAGATTAATGTTAACTATAGTCAACCTACTATAGAGATTGTGCTCTGCTGTACTTTGGCCTCCTTTAGCCACAGCTGGAGCTGGAGCAGCTGAGACATAGGGCACCAAGTCCAGAAGGTGCACAGAGCAGCAGGACCCTGTACCCAGCCCATGAGACCATTTTTCTCTTTTAGGCCTCTGGACCTGTGATGGGAGGGGCTGCCATGAAGATCTCTGGCATGCCTTGGAGACATTTTCTTCATTGTCTTGGCTATTAACATTTGGCCCCTGGTCACTTAAGCAAATTTCTGCAACTGGGTTGAATTGCTCCCCAGAAAATGGGCTTTTCTTTTCTACCACATGATCAGGCTGCAAATTTTCCAAACTTTTATGCTCTGCTTCCCTGATAAATAAAAGTTCCAGTTTCAGATAATCTCTTGGTGAATGCATATGACTGACTGCTTTCAGAATCAGCCAGGTCACATCTTGGATGCTTCACTGCTTAGAAATCTCTTCTGCTAGATACCCTAAATCATCTCTGTCAAGTTCACAATTCCACAGATCACTAGGGCAGGGACAAAATGCCACCAGTCTCTTTGCCAAAGCATAGCATGAGTGACCTTTACTCCAGTTCCCAATAACTTCCTCATTTCTATCTGAGACCAACTGAGCCTGGAATTCATTGTCCATATTACTATCAGCATTTTGATCAAAACTGTTCAACAAGTGTCTAGGAAGTTCCAAACTTTCCTACATATTCCTGTCTTCTTCTGAGCCCTCCAAACTGTCCAACATCTGCCTGTTACCTAGTTCCAAAGTTGCTTCCACATTTTCAGTTTTTCTTTATAGCAGTGCCCCACTCTACTGCTATCAATTTTCTGTATTAGTCCGTTCTCACACAGCTATAAAGATATTACCTGAGACTGGATAATTTATGAAGAAAAGAGGTTTAATTGTCTCACAGTTCTGGATGGCTGGGGAAGACTCGGGAAACTTACAATCATGGTGGAAGGGGAAGCAAGGCACATCTTACATGGTGGCAGGAGAGAGAGAGTTCAGAGAAACTGCCACTTTTAAACCATCAGCTCTTGTGAGAACTCACTACCATGAGAACGGCATGGGAAGAAACACCCTCATGATCCAGTCATCTCCCACCAGGTCCCTTCCCCAACACATGGGGATTATAATTAGAGAGAGATTTGGGTGGGGACACAGAGCCAAACCATATCAATAAGTAAATTTTGAATAAAAAATGAATAAGTGATTTTCAAGGTGGTAGGTTGTGGTTGTGGCCTTGGCACCAGCTCGTGTAAATACAGAAGAAACACTTGGCCTTATTGAAAGAGTTGGTTAGTTTCTTTCACAGGCATTTCTGAGAATTTAATAAAACAATGGATTATCTCCCCGGAAAAAAATGCATGTACTCATTAAAACACCTTTGCCTGTAGATCCTTATGAAAATTTCTTTTCACCTCTAAAGTTTGGACCAAGTCTCTTTTTTGTTTCTAGTCATGGAAGAATTCCTCTTTGCTTTCACCCTCCACATCTCCATCTCATATTTGTTTGTGAAACAATTTTTAAAGAACAAGTCACATTTTTTCCCTCATATTGCTGGTGAGCTCAGGGCTTAAAACTCCTTTTGTGTTAAATATTAAATGGAGTATCTTAAAACTCTCCTTTGTAGTTTTCAAATTTACCAAAGATCTACTTCTTCCATGGAGTTAGTTTCCACATGGAATTATCTGTAAACATCAAAGGCCCATATTTCTTGGGTTTTTTTTTTTTCCCTGACCACTGCTGTTCATTAAACCAATCTGCTCACAAATACCTTTTTGGTTTCTTCACTTGTGCACATACCCTTGTCTTTCATTTTTTTAGATTTCTGTATCTCTTTCAAATCCTTTCAAAGTATATTTTTTTAAAAGAACACTTCCATCCTCCTTATAGCCTATGGTTAATTTCCTACTACACACTGTTGATGATTAAATGATTTTTAAATTCCTGTTTCATCACTTTCTTTTTTGATTTGTTACTTAAAGTGGTCTTTTATCTCTCCCTTGATACTCTAAGATTTTCAAAGGAAAAGTTATATACCCTTCTTTTGCTTTATCTTTTCTCCATATTGTTAGTATAAAATTAATGTTTCTAATGTATTTCAGCACATAGAAAATGATATGATTAGTACCTTGTAGGTAATGAAGTTAAGATACCTTCAAGATGTTTACAATATTTTATTTGAGATAAGAGATTTAATGAAGCTCAGTGACATCATAGTGCATCACTGAGTGTTAAAATGATAAGCCCCAGGGCTGAAGCTTAGACATAAGCCTCTAGTTTTGCTGGTGTCTTTTCTGATGGTGTGTGTGTGTGCTATAGCAGTCATAAAATATTTTGAATATCACCTCTAGTATAGGAAAAGGGAAGAAAGATGCTCCCTCTTTTTTACTTTTTGCAAGAGAAACCTGGATCCAGGGAATACAGAGCAGGCTGCACTTGACATTATTGACCCTTCTTGAATGGTTTACACACAATGACTACTAGCTGACTAAACTCAAATTTGGTATTTGAGTTGGGACTTGAGTTTGGTCTTTGGTCTTTGGGACTGTCATTTCTGAAATTAGTGTCCTGTATAACCATATAGTGTCCCATGTAAGAAGTATAGTACTGCCCCAAAGCTTATTCGTATAGAGAATAGGAATGAACATTTGTGGTATTTTATAAAATAAGGCATTTTCCTAGGCATCATAAGATCAAGTGCATTTACTTTCTTTGGATGTGACAAAGATAGAAATTAATGATTAAAGCTTTCAACTCTAACCCATCCATATTCTTCTAGTTTCTGGGACAAACATTATCACAAATGTTGTACAAAATCAAAGCAGATGCATTAAAATTTACATTTTTATTTCAGGCTTGATGATTGGAAATGTCATTATATAGGCACACATTTTGTTTTTTATTTTAAAAGAGAAATCAATATTAGCTGTCTTTTCCTCTTCCCCAAATAGAGGATAGTTTTGAAACAAAAAAAGTGCCCTGAGATTGAATATTTATATGAACTTTGTTGTATTCTTTGTAAACTTCTTGTGAGGAATTGCATACTTTTGATTACCAGACTCAGGGAAGTGGATTCAGACTATAACAAGATTCTTTTATAAATAGTCACCTCCCCCAGTGAAGAAAGCACAAATGAGTTCACCTGACTTCCCCTCTAAAGAAATTCCTTCAAAATTTCTCATTTATGATGACTATAAAGGTGAATAACAGCAACAAAAAAGCTTTATCAAATGACCCAAGCAAAGGATTTCTATGTGACTGCAAGTCCTACCTCTGATACTTAATTTGACATTGTCACTTTATCACAAATTTTTTACATGTGTACAGCCCTGATATGCTTGTGTTTTAAAGGACAGAAAAATCAATTTCATTTTTGATCTTTACATTCACATGAAAGTGTTCTCTTTGGGGGAAAAGAGAGAGGTCAGATTGAAATCTGTGGTCTAAGGCCAATTAACATTAGAAACTGTGTTGCAACTGGTCCATAGCAGATAAGCCTTCTCCCATAAACACTTTATACTGCAAGCTATGTGGCAAGCTCAAATAAAAGATTACACAAAAACACAGGCATTATCTAAAGTTCAATGTTCAGTATAAACCAGAAGACTATATAAAATGCCCAAATTGAAGTACAATGTATTAATGTTTCATCAACAAGTATTTATTTAACAGCTCCACAGGGCATGTGGCCAGTGCTTCATGCCACAGATATGTGAAGTTATCAGACTCTGTCCTTATGCTGGGGAGGTCTGTAGCTTCAAGTGTAAACAAAGAATAATCTAAACAAGAATTTAAAATGCATCGCTAGCTTTTGTATGCTACATATCAAAACAGAGGAGTAGTCACTGAATACTGTAGGAATTCTGAGCAGTCAAGTTTTAGTATTGCCAGTATAAGTAGTGATAGCAGTGTGAATTTAGCTAGAACAGAGGGCTGATATAGGGAGGATAAAGTTGAAGAAGTGGCTTGTGTCCAGATGGTGGAAGGCCTGAATTTCCAGGTTAATAGAGGTTTTACTCCATAAGCAAAATACCCCTTATTTATGTGTATGTGGGGAGATGATAAATCTAGTGGTGGTGGTGTGAGCAAGGGGGAGAGTCTGAGATAAATGCATGTAAAGCTTGTAGCAACAGTGCCTGCCTCCTTTTATGTGATCAGTAAATATAAATTGTTAATGTTAAAGAGAACAGGCAGTAAAATATTTCCATAATCCAAGAGGCGATGTTGAATTAGACAAGGGTTATGGTGAGGGAAATGGAAAGGAAGGAATGAATAACAAAATAATTGCGAGCATTATTTTTTTTCTTTGTCCTTATCATTCCATGTGAGTGGGAAAGAGTAGCAGGGCTAACTTCCTGGGAACCAAGGGGATACTGAGCCGAAGAAGGTTTTGTGGAAAGGGAGGGAAATAATTACCTTGACAGGAAGAACTCTCACAGAGATTTTCTTCATAGTGTTGTGGAAACACAGGTAGATGCAGGTGAGTCATACCGAACCATAATAGTTCAAGGGGCATGAATCAAGCCTTTCATTTAGATACCATAAATGACTAAATGTGGTTATGAGTGTGCCCTGCAAATTGAAGGTGTTTTGCCAATGTGGGTGACAGCGATGCCTGCCAAGTCACATTCATGAGGACAATAGGTGTTTTACCCATTATAACATGTGTAACTGTGATGAAAACATGAAAGACACTGCTAACCCTGAGCTCCCACAGGGAAATCATCCTAGCTTACTTTCCCTATGACTGGTTAGGCCAAGTTGATCGACCCAGTTTCCTTTCTGCATTTTCTGGAAGGATGTTTTTTTTTTTTCCTGGAACTAGTCTTAAGAGTTTATTTTTTTAGGATCTGTCTATAGTACTTGAAGGCTGACTGCCTTGGTCTTAAGGAGACATTATAAAAAGAAGTCATATGTTAACTTTTGTAAATCCTAGCCATCAGTTGCTGGGCATGAGTTTTCTCTTTAAAAAGTGTAAGAGGCAATTATCTTCATCTGATAAGAATTATGAGTTACCTAGGAACCTAGTTTGTACACGTCAGTGAGGCACAATAAGATTCTATTAGATGAAATGACAAAACCTTAATTGAGGTAACACATCTATTTACATGTTGATTTCCCTAAATTTTGATTAATATTTAAGATATTTATCTTATGTAAATGTTGATATTCATTTATACTGCAATTTTTTTTTTTAAGGCTCACTGCCTTTTTCATAAAATAAAGCACGTCCAGTTAATCACAGGACAGCTCTCCTTTCCCTTTTTGGATTAGTAAAATGGCCTACTGCCACCTGGTGGCAGCATGTCCTAGTCCAGAACAGCAGGCAGGACAGAAGAGTCACTTGGGATGAAACTGTTAATACAAACAAAGAAATAAGGTCATGCTCACATATTCACTCGTGTCCCAGCATGACCTCAAATCCAACATGCCTAAAACAAAATTGATAATATCTGCCTTCAATTAATTATCTTAAAATCTCTACTATTTATTGAGCATGAATGTGTCGAGACATAAAGCACTTTACATGCAGCATTCTTCTTAATCTTGAAACAAGGCTATAAGGAAATTATTATTATTCTCACTTACAAATGAGGAGATTGAGGCATAGAGAGGTTAAATAACTTCCTAATGAGATGCTGTCACTCTTAACTGTTATTATACTCTGCCTTCTGACATGTTGCAGGACATATTGTCCTTTAGTCATTCAGATTTGAAATCCTGGTGTCACATCGTCTCTTCCATCTGTTTCGCTGCTCATTCATAATCACTTGTTTTATATTCCTTTGGGATTTTTTCCTGTATCTATCAATTCTAAGTGCCAAAGTTTCTAGTCCAGACCTTTACAACATGTAAATTTTTGTAGCATGTTCCTGATTGACCTCTTTTAATTTTTTATATTTAAATACATTTTAAAGTAATCTACAACTACATGTTATTATAAACATCCAAATTATAGAGAAGAATGCAGAGTAAAAAGTGAAACTCCTCTGTCATTACTTTCATATTCTCTCACTAATCTCCAGGAAAGTAAGCACATATAATTTTTAGTTTGTGAATTTTTTTTTTTTTCGAGACAGAATCTCACTCTGTTGCCCAGGCGATGGCATGATCTCGGCTCACTGCAACCTCCGCCTCCTTGGTTCAAGCGATTCTCCTGCCTCAGCCTCCCGAGTAGCTGGGACTACAGGTGCCCACCACGCCTGGCTATTTTTGTATTTTTAGTAGAGATGGGGTTTCACCGTGTTAGCCAGGATGGTCTTGATCTCCTGACCTTGTGATCCACCCACCTCGGCCTCCCAAAGTGCTGGGATTACAGGAGTGAGCCACCATGCCCGGCCAGTTTGTTGATTTTTTAAAATATAAATAAACCTATAACACTCCTAATATTTGTAATTTACCCTTTTTTATACAACAATGTCCTGCAGACACATTTTATACAACAATGTCCTGCAGACACAGAAAATAACACAATCTTTCTGTGTTAATGTTACAGAATTTACATACGGTAGACACTTGATAATTTACATAATTATAGACTTAAATTACATACTATTTTCATCTAAAACAGAAATTATATTTTTTGTTTGTTTTTATCAAATTGAAGCATTTGTTTCTTCCAGCATTTCTTTTCATATCATGAGTTTAATCTTCTTCTTGGTTATTGTTAATAAAGATATCTTTCATGGCATGGTATGTCAATAAAGATTATTTTTTAAAATATCAATAAACTGTGTGTGTGTGAGTAGTTGTGGTATTATTTTACTGGATACTTTTTTGCATGTAAGTGCCAAACTCAAACATTCTCAGCTGCCTTGTACAAATTTCTAATTGGTTTACTATTTTTATACATCAGTAGTTCTCAAATTTAATGTACATTAGATTCAGCTGGGGGACTTAATAAACCCCAGATTGTTGGGCCCACCCCCAGAGTTTATGATTTGGTAGGTATGAAGTGAAACCCAAGAATTTCCATTTCTAACAAGTATTAGCCTAAAGCTGTCTCCTTGCATATTTTAAGTTCAGCTTAAAGGTTTCTCCGTGCATAGTAAACTATAACCTTACTGGATGTATGAACAGACAGTAACCTACTCTTGTGCCAATCACTGAGTTTGGCCAATCAAAGGGGGCCAACTCTTCAAACCTTGTTCAAAATAAGGCAAACATCAAGCTGTAACCAGTCCGGCTGTTTCTGTCTCTCACTTCTGTTTTTTTTTGTTAGTCACTTTCCTTTTGCTGTCCATAAATCTTCCACCAAGTGGCTGCACTGGACTCTCTGAGCATACTCTGGCTTGGGAGGCTGCCTAATTTGTGAATCATTCTTTGCTCAATTAAACTCTGTTACATTTGATTTGTCTAAGGTTTTTCTTTTAACACAAGTTTTCATGTGATGCGATGCTCCTGATCTAGGGACCACACTTGGAGGATCACTGATCCGTATGACTCTCTTGTGATGCTTTATACTCCTAGGATATCTTGATCCCTTCTCAGCACTCTCTGTCTACTGCACGTAAGAACTGTAGCTTAAAGAGAGAGCTGAAAATGGCTGTGGTGGACATCCGGGCCTGGGGTGTGTGCCCTTCCAGAATGGGGCCAGCAGAGGCTCTAAAAGGCAGACTTGATCAGAATGACAGTCCTGCCAATGGTTCAAACCTCAAATTAAGAAACAGTTTTCACACATGCAAAGGGTAGAACAAGCTATTGTTTATCCATCAGTCTCCACAGCAGCACTTGCCCTAGAGACTGCAGTCCACAGCAATTGCATCACCTTTGAGTATGAAGGACGATGTTATAAATGCCACTACATGCAGAAAACATTTTTAAACTTATATTCTTCACTTCCTGATCAGAGCTCAGCTAAGTAAAATTCTAGGAATTAAGTGAATTGATGCATTCAGTCAAATATTATATTTATTTCATTGTTACTATGGATTCAATTCTAGTGTGATTTGCTTTGTAAAGTAATTGTACCAATCTATTATACAAAAGTCCAAAATTGTTGAAACAAAGGAGGATTAAAAAAATTTGCTATAGGGTTTTTCTACAAATGTAGTAAAATTGCTTTATCTTTAACCATTTGATTTATAAAAACTGCCTGCTTATATATATATTGGACAGAGGAAACACATCATTTATAGACTTGATTAGCCAAAATACAAATGTAACATATGTACATAAAACTTATGTAATGGAGTATTTAGTTTTGAGAATGATATATAGGAGACATAATAATAATTCTGGAGAACTTAATCTGCTAGATACATTGTAATTCTTGTAAAGGCTTACATATTTATATTTTGTTTAAACCTTTTATTTTTATTTTTGCACCATCATCCCTTCATTTTTTTCAAATAAAAACATACTTAGAAGTAAATTATATATTTTCTAAATACATGCATTAAAATTTATGTGCCCCAACTTTCAAATGCTGTATTGTTTCTGAACATATATGCATTACTGTCACCTCTAGAAAGTTATTGAAACCATTAAATTGCCTGGATGGTTGAAGATTAGAAACATTATAGTGTATTAATAGGACAATGCCATTCTGAGTGATCTTTGGAGTATGATACTTTATATACTAATTCAGCTTTACAACCTGAAGGTAGAAACCAATTATATGGGACAAAAACCGCTTTGGTATATTATTTCTTATCTAAGACACTGTTAAAATGCTCAAATTTTACTAGTTTAAAATAAGAAATGAGGACCAAAATACATGGTGTTCTTTATCCTAAATTCCCTTTGCCTGGTGCAAAAATAATGGTTCATATTTTATCTGAGTGTTCCCAACTCATCCTCTTCACATTACACTTCAAGGTACTGTGGCATGCGAAATAGAAGTTTGGCTCAATTTCAGACTCAACCATCACCTCTCCATGCGGTCTCAAGTTAATAAACTTCCCTGGGCCTGAGTTTCCTCATCTGTAAACTAAGAGCATGTGAGAGTGCTCATAAAACATTATTTGAAAAGACTGGAGAGCAAGCATGAGTGAGTAGTGTCCATTGAAGGGTTTGTCCCAATAACTCACTGGAGAGTGTTCATGCCTTTCAGTCTGTGAGCTAGCAAAGATGGAGAGCAATGAACTAATGAAAGAGATATTTAGATGAATATGTTGCTTAAACATTTTAGTGTTGATGCATAATCAATGCACTTTGAATCAGGAAAATGCATTGAGTTGATTAAGATATTTCATCCATATTGCTTCTTTGCTTGAAATATTTCTGTGAAAAAGTATTGCCAGTTCTGGAAATAGAGTTAAAAGAATGCTTGAGTACTTTATTAGCTTTCACTAAACATGCATGTATTCATAAAAATTAGGTACAGTTTTCTAACGTGTTTTCTTAAACTTTATACAAATGCTACTACAATGGTATATATCATTCTTTTCATTCTTTAACTTACTCTAATCCTTGAACAATTTATTTTTAAAAATTTAATTTATTTTATGAGAGATGGAATCTTTCTATGTCACCCAGGCTGAAGTGCAGTGGCTATTCACAGGTGCGATCATAGTGCACTACAGCCTTGAACTCCTGGGCTCAAGTGATCCTCCTGCCTCAGTCTCCTGAGTTCCTGTGACTATAGGTGCATACCACCATGCCCAGTCATTGTTTTAATTTCTACATAGTATTTCATTTTATATCTACAACTGTTTGTTTATCTTTTCTCCTGTGATGGACATTTAGGTTGTTTCCAAATTTTCAATGCCAGGATTCTTTAGTGGATGTTCTTGTAGTGTATCTTCTTGAGCTCATACAGCATGTAGTCTAGAAGTGAAATTGAGTAGTACACAAATATTCAGCTTTACCAGATAGTGCCAAATTGCTCTTAAATTAGTTGTACCAAATCGTACTACCACTAGTACTGTATAAAAGCTCATTTCACATTTTCCTCAATACCTAATAATGTTAGCATTTTAAATTGTAATGTGAAAGTATAAAATAGTATTTCATTGTGGTTTTATATGTAATATTACTAATACCAGCACATGTAGAGGCCGTGTTCCTGTCATTTTTATTAATTATTTGGGGTTTCTTTTTATGTGAACTGCCCAATTATATCCAGGCATCATCATATCCTATGCCAATTTTTCTACTGTGTTGTCTTTCTCTTATCGATTATAGGTCTCAACATAATGTGAATACTAATCCTATTTTGGGTTATATACTTTGCAAATATTTTTTCCAGGTTTTTGGCTTATATTCAAATTTTATTTCATGGTGACCTTGTTGGTGTAGAAGATTTTAACTGTGATGTAATAAATATTATCAATCTTTTCCCTAAGGTTTGTATGTCTTTTTGTTTTTGTCTTGCTAAAGAAAACTTCCCTAGTCCAATGTCCTTAGGAAGTTTTGAAGTTTGCCTTTTACAGTAGGCCTTTAATCTATGTGAAATTATTGTGTATGCTGTAGGTAGCATCAGTTTTTTTCCCATATGGATTATTAATGATAACAGTGTTATTTATTGAGTCATCCATTCTTTCATCACTAATTTGTATATTTAGGTATCAGTTTTTTACTATGTTCAAGTATTCTATTGACTTGTTTCTGCAATAATCAAAAACATGCATTTCTGTTTTTCTGTGAATTCATTACATGGCCACTTTGGAAGGTTTCCATGACTTCCATGGTTTCAGTTACATAAACAATAGTCCATGGACATCAATTTGCTCCTGATACTGACTCAATGCAGCAGTCATTAGTGTAGTCTACCAAATGTTTCCAATTTTCTACCTTCTGGGAAATGGTGGGATTGGCTGTTTCTACTCTCTTTACATTTAGACATGACTATAAGACTTACTGCCAGTGGGTTCATTCCTGAGTAGAATCTTTAAATAGAAGCTCTAGGAACCAGCCTGCGATTCGCCACATTTTCCAATCCTGGCTCAGCAATCATGGAAGCATGGAGATAGAAACTCCCTGAGTGAGACTGACATCGAGCAGAGCTCCAGATGACCTTGAGTACCTTAATAGACCTGGAGCTGAGTGAAACCAGTTGTCTTAAACCACTGAGATTTTTGGAGTTGTTCATTACTCCAAGATGACCTGGCATATCCTGACAGATACAGTTAATGTACTGTAATTTACAATTTGATAATTGGGGAAATGATAAACGAACACCCTGCATTTGTTAGAAGGTAATATTTATATGTTAATGTCTCTCTTTTCAATTCCTTCCCCCAACTGCCTTACAATTGTGTCATTGTTAGGGCACTCACATTCTCTAATACCCATTACCTGTCAATCAAATTCAAGTTAAATTTTGATAGCACACATTTTTTTTTTTCTCCCAGCCTGTATTTCTTCCCTTAAGCCTGCATTTCTTCTCTTGGAGTGTTTACATTTTTAAAGAAGTTACCTGAAAAGATCAATGTTTTACCTAAAATCTTTAATGATGATGACCATTTTTATGGCCCTACAGTGAGGGGTCATTTGTGAAAAGCAGGAATTCTCAGCTTCCTCTTATTAGAACACATTGGTTTCTACTAACATGATATACATTTGACAGTGGCTTTGATATTAATGATCCATAATTCCTTGTTGATGATGATTGCATTCATGAACTTGTGTGTTCAGTATCTGACTCTTATATTTCTGGAATGGTAAAGATAAGAGGGGAAAAGATAAGAAGTGGAGGTATTACTAAAAGGATATTTCCTGGGCAGATGTATCTTTTTCAGATAATCTCTCCACTGCTTAAATGTTCCTTTATATTAATAAATTCCTCCTAGATATGCAAAATAATCTCATCTTATGGCAGGGTTGGACAGTGGTGGAGGTGGGAAAAGAAAGGAACTAATATCCAGAGAACTATATTTTTAATCCTTCGTACTTTAACATAAAGTACATGGATCCTTTGATTGGAATATTTGCCTCCTAACAGCTCAGAGGTGTTAGGGGAAGCAGTGGATGGTTGGATGGAGATGATGAGTCATTTTAGAGCCTGGGACATGGCAGACATACATGGCAGGCAGACACTGGGGCTTTGGCTTTGATAGAGGGAAGGCTCAGGACCTCTCAGACAGAACACAGCTGTGAGAAGTGATGTGGTAGTGGGCATAATCAAATTCCTGCTTTGTAGGTAAAAAAAAATAAATGTTGGTGTGGGTTACAGGCATTCTGAAAAATCATCTCAAGTGTCAGAAGCTACCATTTATACCTGTAATAGTTTTACTAAAGAATACCAAACATTTTTGATATTAGAATACTATCTTGCCAGGCTTTTTCCTCCTTAAAAAATGAATGTTAATTGGTTACTTAACATTTACATATCTCTCTTTTTAGGTGGTTCTTTGGAGCAATCGGAAGATCAGATGCAGAGAAACAACTATTATATTCAGAAAACAAGACCGGTTCCTTTCTAATCAGAGAAAGTGAAAGCCAAAAAGGAGAATTCTCTCTTTCAGGTAAGGGTATTGTTTTGTGTCATTCAATATGAGCTTGAGAGTCTGCAGTCATGAGCTTTCTGTGTGAACATGGACACGATCATTTAAAATTTGCCTTATTTCTTATCTTTACAGTAGCACCAAAATTAATACTAAACTACTTAAGAGTAATATAAAAATTAGCCAAAAAGATACTGTCTATGGCTAGAAGTCTCTATAAACAGTTTCAAATATATATGCTCTAGATATGAAATGGAGAACATGGATCTGCTGACAGTTTCTAACTTTTGCATTATCTAGGATTCTTTTAGGGAAATGATAAGGAAGAAACAAAAACTCTACTGTTGTCAAAATTATCATGCTACAATATAATTTTTTTCTTCTTCTGGCATTTCAATTCTCTTTGCTGGTTAAACATAAAACGAATTGAAATGATTAATGCAAATATATGTGATTAACCCCATAATATGTAAAATTTGGTCAAATGTAGTTTTTCACTTAAGGATCAAGTACGTGTTTACACTGCCCCAGGAGAAAAGAAGCACAGGGGACCTGAAAATGTACTCAGTAGTTACAGGTACCTAAATATATGTCTTTGCTTTGAAAAAGCTATATTTTTAGGTATATTGCCAGGTTGCAGAATATCTTTTCTTGAAGACCCTACACTAAGTCATCTCTAAATATGAGGCTTTCTCTCTTCTTGTCCCGTTCTGTTCTCTGTGTTGTCAAGGTCTGTCATTTGTGTTATCATCCCCTTTAAATACGTATTATTCTGTTTCTCCAATTAGATGTGAACCTTGTGGAGGGAGAGGCTTTGCTTCCCTCTATTCCTGTTTCCCTGCAATAAATGCTGATTAAACATGATGCCCATTTGCCTCATTGTGTCTGCCTGACTCACTGAGCTGGAAATCAGGGCAGCCGTCATGATGCCGCATGAAAGCAGGCCATAATTCCACATATATTGGGAACTTTGATCTGACCTGAACTCTGGCCAGGCTGTCTGTATTTGGTACACATTATCCTTCTCCACACCTGGTAGTCCCAAATATCAGGGCAGATGGGTTGGAGCTGGAGAGAAGCAAGGGCAGTGGTTTTGAGGCAGGTGTTGCCGAGGGTCCGTACTTCAGGTCCTGACTATGCTGACACTGAGACAATGTGGTACTCCAGAACCACATGGATTCAACTTCACTACTACCTAATCCATGGATAAGAGGTTAGAGTATGCTAGTTCTGACAGTTACTCTTGAAATGTGATTGTGTGTGATGTGTCAATTACCATTTTTTTGTTTTTTTGAGACGGAGTGTCGCTCTATGGCTAGGCTGGAGTGCAGTGGCTCACTGCAACTTCCGCCTCCCGGGTTTAAGCGATTCTCCTGCATCAGGCTACCAAGTAGCTGGGACTACAGGCGCGTGCCACTATGCCTGGCTAGTTTTTATATTTTCAGTTGGGACGGGATTTCACCATGTTGGCCAGGATGGTCTCGATCTCCTGGCCTCGTGATCCACCGCCCTTGGCCTCCCAAAGTGCTGGGATTACAGGCGTGAGTCACCATGCCTGGCCTGTCACTTACCTTAAATGTTGTTTATACCCAAGGTGATAATCAAAATATCTAATGACTGATATGGGATGGGCATTAGCCACTCAGAAAAGATGCTCCACCAGGCTGGGACTTCACACCAGTCCACATCTGTATATCCAAGTGATATAAGTGAATATTTCATATAGCAATGTTTTTTTCTCATTATGAAAGAAACATAAAAAACTTTTCTATAAGCAAACAGCTTAAAGAAGAATAATCTAGAATAAGACTTTCGAAAGATGCATTTTAAATATCGAAATACTTTTCCTGTCAGGATTTTTAAAAATTCTTGACCTATAAGTATATTTTTATGCACATATACATATACATACATACTTATACCCCCATACACAGAAAACACAATTTTTGTTTTGAAAAATTCTGTTCTGAAAATGAATTTTCAGAAGAGATTCTGCATCAAACATTAGCTTGTAAATAATGAAATACTTGTGTGTGTGTGTATGTTTTGTAAACAAAATTCTCCAAAAAGGAATTCGAAAGAAGAGACTTTATTCCAGTGACATTTGCAGACCCAGAAGATGCAGCCTTCTGTGTAAAACAAAGATGCATTCCAGAGAACAAAGGGAGGGTTATGATTTCATAGAAAAGTTACTACCCAGGTTCCCAGTCAGTTTCATTTATGCAAATGAGGGATTCAAACTTGCTTAGTTCTGAGTGGTCAATACAGCTGAACCTTGATTGTTTGTCAAAGTTGAGTCCTGATTGGTTGATACAGCTGAGTCATGATTGGCCAAGGCAAGTAAGTTCTGAAAGTCCCAAAGTTAAAGAGGTGTGGATTTTCAGGAAACTCAGAGTATGTGTGTGACCTCTATCAGCAAATGGACCCTTGGTTCTATTTTAAATTTAGGACCAGTTAGCCACTTGGGATCCATCTTGAAGACTGGCTCTTTCAGGTTAACTTTTGTTAATAGTGTATATATCTATAAATCTATCTATATCTAGATAAATATACACACATGTGTACAGACATATGTATATACATATGTGTGTGCATGCATGTATGCATGTATGTGTATAACATGGATCCAAGCTCCATTTTTCTTTTCTTTTTTTTTTTTTCAGACAGAGTCTCACTCTGCCGACCAGGCTGGAGTGCAGTGGCGCCATGTCGGCTCACTGCAACCTCTCCCTTCTGGGTTCAAGCAATTCTCCTCCCTCAGCCTCCCCAGTAGCTGGGAATACAGGCATGTGCCACCACATCTGGCTAATTTTTGTATTTTTA
Organism: Homo sapiens; assembly: GCF_000001405.40. Lineage (NCBI taxonomy): Eukaryota > Metazoa > Chordata > Mammalia > Primates > Hominidae > Homo > Homo sapiens. Next base: position 116,001,074 of record NC_000006.12, on the reverse strand, counting down.
GTAGGGACGGGGTTTCACCGTGTTAGCCTGGATGGTCTCAATCTCCTGACCTCGTGATCCATCCTCCCTGGCCTCCTAAAGTGCTGGGATTACAGGCGTGAACCACCACGCCCGGCCCAAGCTCCATATTTCTTATTTCTGTCTTGCAGTATCTTGTGAACATTTTTGCATGCCCTTTAATATTCTTCTATTACTTTTAGAAGTTGCATGGGTATATCATCATTTATTTGACTTATTGTATATTTTGTACATTTTAATTATTTTGCTGCTATAAAATATGATACAGTGGACATCCTTACAGATAAATAGTTGAATATTTGAGTATTTTCATGGTAATATATTCAGAGGAAGAAAAATCTTTTTGAAATCTTTATGCTTAATAAGAAGAGTTATAAGAGAATTCCTTGTTTAAATACATCCCTGATTGTTTATTTGTCTTTGGCAATAAGTGTCAAATTAGGTGGCAGCTATTTAGTCAAAAGTGAGATCAAATGTTTTTAGATTAGCGTTAAAAATATAGAAGAATGAGGCAGGGTGTGGTGGCTCATGCCTGTAAGTAATCCCAGCACTTTGGGAGGCCGAGCTGGGTGGATCACTTGGGGCCAGAAGTTCAAGACTAGCCTGGCCAACATGGTGAAACCCTGTCTCTACTAAAAATATAAAAATTAATGGGGCATGGTGGTGCACACCTGTAATTCCAGCTACTAGGGAGGCTGAGGCACGAGAATTGCTTGAACCTGGGAGGTGGAGATTGCAGTGAGCAGAGGTCACGCCATTGTACTCCATCCTGGGTGACAGAGCGAGACTCCGTCTCAAAAAAAAAAAAAAAAAAAAAAAAAAAAAAAAAAAAAGAAAGAATGATATTTTCATGAGGAAAACAAACTTAAAGTAGAATTACCTGAATTATATCTTTGAATAATGGCCAGGCTACAGTGACTGTTCAGAATACTCTCTAAGTAGAATGTTATGGAACAAAACAGCTTTACAGGCTTAGAAAAAAATTACAAGGATATTGGCTGTTATGTGCTGTGAATACTCTGGAGCTTGCTTATGGATTTAGGAAGCTCTGCAGGCCTTGCTTAGAGACCAGCATATCATTATGATTTCTTTTCAATGAAGTCAAACAATTTAGTCTTTTAAACAAATTATCTGATTGCTATGTATTCACTGGGGGACAAAGTAAATGCATACCATTATGTTCTACTGAAAGAAAATTTTTCCTATTAGCCAGAGGGAAGGCTATACAGGAGAAAAATGGAAAGGAAAGAAAAAGGACTTTCAATATATCCACATTAAAACAAACAACCCAATTGCTGACTGTTGATTACTGCTAAGGATCTTCAGATATACCACTCTAGATTTATTTCTTAGTGCAGTTGTCTTCTTAATCAGTCTGAATTGATGGTCTTCAATTTTGCTGACTGCTGTGCTGCTAAAGGAAGGCAAAAAATATCCCTTTTCTATCTCTTTCTTTCCCACTTGAGTTTCCTTAGAAGTATTGTCTTTATTCCTTGAGCAACAATGGCTTGGAGCTGTCAGAAAAGAGCTTCATGAGGGTGCATGATTTATTGATGCTGAGTGGGCTGAGAAGTAGCAGCCCAAGGTTGGGTGGGTGCTAATTGGGTTGTTGTGATCCCTGCACGGCTGTCTGCTCTTGTGAGGTCTGAGTAGATCTGAAAAGAGAGTTAGGGCCACGACACCTCTCATAATGGCAAGACACTAATTAGCTGTGAATTACAGCAGCGCTTTTGAATATTACATATTATATGTGGTAGCCAGAGAATCTGTCTTCATTAGATGCATGACAGATAGTTTTAGTGACCTTACTCTTATTTGTCATTGGTAGTGAATTGTTTTTCTGATGAAAAATACCAAATTCTAACTGCATGTCAACTGGTTTGGCTATTTCTTGACTTCAATCAATTACTTTAAAGGAAACTATTATTGTTATTACCATTAATATTAATTTACTGGTTGGTATTCTATAAGCATTAGTATTATTTATTGTTTAAAGTACACTTAAAAAATGCACTTTAGGGTCTAAAATTGAGCTGCAGCTGAGTTTTTCAGAGGAGATTCTGCATTGAATACTGTGATTTTACTTGAGACAACTCTGCACGTAAAAGCCTACAGAGTAGTAGAGCTTTCACATTTTTCGTCAGTGAAACCTGTTCAGCACCAAGCAATAATATATTGAAGATAATTGAAAAGTGACTACATTGAGGCCATAAGGCAAAAGAGCTCATCAATAATATTCAAGGTGATGCATCTAGGAGTTGACATATACTTATACCTTTGTTTATTTCTTCAACGGCATTCAGTATGCCCACTGTGTGCCAGGCCCTCTAGTAAGTGAAAGGCAGCCAAGACCAGCAAGGCACAGTCCCTGAACTCAGTCTAGAGAAGAATTACAATACAGTTATTTTGTTGTGAGACAAGAGAGGGCAGGGGCCAAATCTCTGAGGGGAGTCAGGGAAGGTATCAATTTGTGTTTTAAGGTGGCAGTGTGTAAATTATTATTTCTGGCAAAGACAAATGCACAGAGTTGTGAGTTTTTCTGGTGTTTTGTGGAATGATTGGAAGGGTGGAGGATAGTGCAGGTGTGTGGGTGCATGTGGGGAGTGGATGAAGGCGAGGAGGGATGGTAGAAAATAAGTGTGGAAAGGAAAGTTGGAACTAGACTATTCACGACCTTGTATATCACACTGAGGAATTTGGACCTTGTTCTACAGAGCAAAGTTTTAGGCAGAAAGTAATTGGTGTAATCTGTCTGTTAGATGTTACCTTTGATGTTGAGAATGGATGAGAGATTTGTAGGCAATAGTCCGGGGGGATATGAGAGGAACACACACGGTGGAATCACTAGTTGCTGTTTGAAATTATAGGTGCAAGATGAGCAGAGTCCATCAGCATTCTGCAGACAGAAGCAACAGATCCCAAGCTCAGCTGGCTGCACTGTCTCTGCTCTAGCAGAGGGCATCCCCAGAAGCATAGGGCCCCTCTGTTGCTCTTCTCTTTTATGAGCAAGTATGGGAGTCGCCCAAGGACTGGGGATAAAGACTGCTTTGGTGCTAAGCAGTCTGAGTTTAGTTATCAGTTATTTGCAAGGTTCTTTGGAAAGCCCAGCACCTATGAGCTTGAAGTGCTGTGGGAAATGGCAGCTTCTTTTGCTCAGAAGAGGAAATCACTTGGCCTGTGGGAAGCTGAGTTCAGATGCAGTCCCTATGGGGTGACAGTGGGACAGGCCTAGTGAACCCTTTGCTTTGCAATCCAGAAAGAGTTCCCAGGATTCTTTTCTACACAGTCTCCTTTCTCCATAAATGAGAGCTTGAACCAGGACAGAGTTATGAGGAACAAAGAGAAAAGAATAGAGGTGAGAAATATCTAGAAGATAAAACTGACAGGAACTGGTGACTAATCAGAAATGGGGCAAAATAAGGGAGAATGAGATTCTAGGATGGATGTCAGATCTCTGACATGAGGGATTGGGGGATAGTGGTAGCTTTGGCTAAATGAGGTATTAAGGAGGAGATGATTTACGGAGAGATGGGAGGAAACCAAGGGAAATAATCTCAGAGGTGCTTGAGACACATATGAGTGAACATACAAATAGCCATTCTCCTTTTTTTTTTTTGGTCAGGGAGACTTGTTTGTGCTGATTTTGAGCAGAGTACTTTCTATGATAAAATTTCCTCACAGTGAACTTGGAGTTCCCATGGAGTATGCAGGACTTTTATAATAGTAGTTTGTGATCACTGTGAAGTCACTTCTTGAGAATATAATAGGCCTCTCTAGTGGCATAGTTTAATGGAAAAATAAGCATATTAGAATTTTCAGAACGAAATACATGTTTTGCTCTTCAAAGTAATTGACTATGATTGTACAAAGTATTGCACAAATGGTAGAACTGCCTTTTTAGAAAGAATACTACTTTATGTGATAATTATTTGATATCCCTTAGCTGGGGTAATTATGTGTTCATTAAGGGCAGCTTTGATACTTGGAAGTAGGCAGAATTATCCAAAGCAACTTTCTGAATAATATGGATGATTAACTTGAATGATACTCTGGATTTGTAACTTTGTAAATATTTCTGCATGCCTTGTAATTAATTCTAAAGGCAATTCAAAAAGTAATGAGAACAGTAACAGCTTCCTTAGGAAAGTTGTGTCTCCTTTCTTGTTGACCTTGTGTGTATCCTTCATGTTGAACTTACAAATTAAAAGACTTATTTAAATTTGAGTGGCTTTTTCATTGTAGGTAAAAATATGCATCTCAAACTAGATTTTAAACTCCTTCAGTAGAAGAACATGTTTTTATTGCTTCTATTTCATGCTTCTTCTCTATCTTCATAGTTTACAGTAGAGTTTTGTAAAATCAGTAGCCACACAAACACCTCTTTACATTGTAGTCTACAACGTGCAGAGATAATCAAGGACATTGTCACTGCCTTAAACCTTAGAAGTCTGGGCCATGTAGGATTACAAATAATCCTCCTATCTGCTGTGTTTCAGACTTATTTTAGAAAGACAATTTCACACCTTGACAGGTCAGTTTTTTCCAGGTAATAAGACTTTTGTAGAGGAAACACAATCAGAAGGACATATCACTTGTTAGTATGACCCTCTATGTCTCTGCCAGGCACAGAGTTCGTCCTAAACTCACTTTATACAGACCCTTCAGCTACCATGATTCTGTTCAAACTTTTGAGATCTTCAGAGTCATTCGAATGTGACTCAGTCCAATCACAAAATGTTCTAAGTTTCATCATCAGTCCCTTGAGCCATTCATTCATTCTTCATTCAAAATTAATGCGAACATTGTGGCCACTAGTGTTTGTCAGTAATTGTATTACCATTAACTACAGATGTAAAGACAATTGTATGTCCCAAGAAGAGACACATATTAAATGACTGGAAAAACAAAAAAAATATTGCTCCTTGAATTTATTATGCAATGAAACTTCTATGGATTCTGGGAGCATTTTGATATTGGTTAAAGATGTTTTGCTTTTTAAAAAGTGCACATGCTGCAGAAAGAGAATGTTATGTTAATAACTCCAGTATCTCATATAAAATGTATTAAATTTTAAACATGTTGGTGCCATCTTAGAAAATGCCTTTTAATTAAAGTCATAATTTAGTTTTGTTCAGCTAAATTGCAAATATCATTGCCTATAATTGCAAGTGACTTTTTCTGTGAGTTATGGTATGTACTGCCTTTTCTGAACATTACCAATGATAAGTTATATTTCAAATGTTTTAAATACTCTATAAAGTTAAATTAACATTTTATTATGTGCACGTGTGTCTGTGTTTGCATCTGTACACACACATATACATGCAGATGCACAGGCAAAGAACCTTTTCCTCTAGGGCACTGGTTCATGAAGAATCTTTTATCTTACTGAAAATTCATAACTAACATTTCTAGAAATATTCTTTACAAGGCTTGTTTTCTTTTTTTTCCCTCTTTTGTTTGTCTGTGAACCCCTCATATTGACTTGTCTTAATTTTCTTTTCTTCTTTTGCTTACCTTGGTTTGTTAAAAAGATTTTTTGTATTGATATTTTCAGCAATTTGGAGGAAAACATAACAAAGAAATAATGCCTATTATTACCCTTTGGATGCTGCTTTATAATAATCAATTTCAGATATTAAATAAATAAGTAGGAAGTTGATAAGTCATGTGAGAAATTGCTATATTTTTGTAATTCATGATATATTCTACCCCCTTGATTTTTTCATTTTATTAACAGCTGAAGTAAATTGATCCTTTATTTACATTTTGTACTTTCAGATTAAGATAGTGGCTGGAGTTAGCATCCTCCTACTTCCTATTCAACTATTCAAAACATACATAAGAGATGCAGAATCATAGTAGCTCTATAAACTAAGTCTATCAACCAATGATTTCTTAGAATCTGGGTAGATACTCTCACACCTTCAGTGTGAATGTAGGTTGAGATGTTGTTAAGTGGCTGGAATAGATTTTGACCTACGCATCAGATCAGTGCTAGTCAAGTTGAAGATAGGAGGATGCTTTCACTCATGCTGAGTGTGTGCCCCTGTTTTAGAGAGGCAAGATGTGCAGTTAGTGGAAAACCAGGCAGCTTCTGCTCTCCTAAGTGGAACGAACTCAGTGATCTGGCCCTTCCCTAGGCACCACATAGCTCCCTTCATTTCTATTTACAGATTTGTTGTCTGGTGTGGGCTTTCTTCCTGGTTTGCAGATGGCCACCTTCTTATTGTATCCTCACATGGGAGAGAAAGAGAGAGGGCTTTGGTCTCTTTTTCTTCTTATAAGGGCATTAATCCCATTATGGAGGCTCCACCCCTCATGTTCTCATTTAAATTTAATCGCCTCCCAAAGGCTTCACCTCCAAACACCATCACATTGAGATTTAAGCCTTCAATATATAAATTTTGAGAAAGGGACACAATTGCAATTGCAGGTCATAACAATTGCAAAGTATTAAATTCTGTTTCTTATTGTCAGTGGCCATGCCAGTAAAGTAGGGGAAGATCCACTCTTTTTCTGGCAAAATCATAGGGATTGAATATTTGTTAGACATTGCTAATATGTTTAGAGACTTAATGCATTTGCAGCCCTGCTGTGTGTGAGTTAACAGAAGAAAGTGTAGACTCATCCAAATGCATAGCGAGGAGGACAGGCACATGTTTTTCTAAGTACCAGGTTTCTTTTCATTCAAAGATGAGTATAATGACAAAAAAAAGGCGGGGGGGGGGGAGGTTGTGAGATTCTGGATACCCAATAACAAAATTTCCCAACTTATCTTCTAGGACCCCAATTCTTTGATAAGCCAATAGTGTTTCACTGGAAAGAGGGGGTTCAGCAGTTACGTGCACTTGAAAGTACCCCATGTTACATTATCTCTGCCTTGACTTGACAAAGCATACTAAAGTCTCTGATAAGTCTTATGGCAAAGAAATAGAACTTTTTCAACCCTGAATATCTCAAACTACTTGGTCATAGAACCATTAAGTTTTCTATAAAACATGGTTTGGGAAAAAGAATACTATAAGAGATGACAATAACGTGAAGATAGAAAACTCCTACATTTGAGACATAATTCACTGAAAGGAACAGTAGATAAATTTTGAAATCATTTGATTTGAAATCTCAGAATACAAGAAAGCACAAATTCTATGAAATTAAGCATAAAAAGCAGCATGAAAAGGCAATTGATGAGAGATATCACTTAGTGATATAAAGAGCATACTTGAGATGCTCTTTGGGGAGAAAGAATAATAGATTAAAGTTTGTGAGGACAGATGATGCACAAAGAGGAGACATTTCTTTGAAATTTATTAGAATAATTAAATGCAAGCAATAGTTAAATATGTAGCATAAGAAAGCTTTCCTCAGTTCTTTTTTATTTTTCAAGAAAGCATGCTTACATTTGCCCTTAATTTTTTTATTTGTATAAATTTATGGGGTATAAGTATAGTTTTGTTATATGAATATATTGTGTAGTGGTGAAGTCAGGCCAAGCCCTCTTTTATATTAATGTTTAAATTCGTGTTGGCAGATTGAAAATACAGTGTTTCAAGCAAAATAAGTGAAAACATTTATACCTAGGGCATCTTTTCAAGATATTATAATATCAAGGAAAAATGAAAAAAATTCTGTGAACATCCAGGGAAAAAATAAGTTAATCACAAAAGAATGAGAATTGAGTTGGCTTCAGAATTCTTCACAGCATTACGTATCAAAACTCAATAAAAACATATAAAATCTTTCTTATTTTTCTCATAACTTATTTAAAAAGTTGATAAGTATACATTTTGCCTGACTGTTGATAAAGTTGATAACTGCATACTTCCACCTAAAATTACTAAATGTTAACACCTTGTGACATTTACTTTCTCCCTCTCTCTCGCCTTTATTTGTATATCTACATACATCCGTGTATAGGTTGTAGATATCATGTCACCTCAACTTTAAAAATTTTAGCATTAGTATTTATGTCTTATGAATAAGGACACTCTCCTACATTATTACATTTCCATTATTAAACCTAGAAAATTTCAGATGGATACAACAATATTATTTATTAGAGTTCATACTCGAATCTCTCCCAATGTCCTTTCTGGTTCTCTATTTATTTGCTTTTTGATATAATAGATAGAAGTTTATGCATTGCTTTGGTATTGTATCTCATTCTCTTTTATTTAGAAGAGTCAAAAGCCTTCAATAGCTCTCCTTTACAAACCTCATACATTCCTATTTACCTTGACATTTAAGCCCTTCATAGCCTTGCTAAAAGCCATTTCTTGTCTAATCGTTTGTATTACTTTAAGTTAAACTATGCTATGCTATGACATAAGCTATTGCACGATTAAGACTTGCACTTCCCATCTTCTAAACCTTTCTCTTTACTTTCTTTGAGCAAGGTACTCAAGACATAGCATGGTGTTTTGCATGTTGAAGTGTTTTCTTTATAACTGTTTTCTTATAAAGGTTGAATTGTTTTAATAAGAATGGTACTGTTTTTTTTCCTGGCCTCAATTTGTCTTTATATAGAAAAGAAATTTTCAAAACTATTTGGAGAAACACTTTGAACTATTTTTAACCATTCATTTAATCATTGATTCATACATTTACTCATTTATCATAGCACTTTCATTTGTGTTTACTATGTGACATAATTATGTAAGCAAATAAATAGGTCACACTATGACAAGCATAATAATCAAGTTATATGCAAAGTGATTTAAGACCCAGAAAAGAGAGCAATTACTTCTTTTGAAGGGATTTATAAGGGAGGGCATTACAGGAGATGAGACAACAAACACCATTATGCTTAGTAGAGAGTAAAAGCAAATGGAAAATAGTGGCACAGAATTTGTTTTTCTGTTAAGACAATGTTTATTATTAAGAACCTTTCTTACTTTGAAAGAGCAAAGGATGAATGAAATGAAAAAGTTATTTCTTTGAAAGGATAAACAAAATAGACTATTAGCTAGGTTAACTAAAAGAAAGAAACAAAAAGAGAGAGAGAAGATTCAAAGAAGCACAGTCAGAAATGATAAAGTGACATTATGACTGGGAAATAAAATTTTTGGGAAATAAAATTCCCAAAATAGACCAATAATGAATACTGAAACTGAATCAGTAATAAAAAAATCTACCACCAACAACAAAAATCCCAGGACCAGACAGATTCACAGCTAAGTTATACTAGACATACAAAGAAGAGCTAGCATCAATCTTACTGCAGCTATTCAAAAAAATTGAGGAGGAGGGATTCCTCTCTAACTCATTCTACAAAATCATTATCATCCTGATACAAAAATCTGGCAAGGATAACAAAAAAATAATACTGTAGGCTAATATCCCTGATGAACATGGATACAAAAATCCTCAACAAAATACTAGCAAACTGAATTCAACAGTATACCAAAAAGATAATTCATCATGATCAAGTGGGTTTTATTTCAGGAATAAATGGAGGATGATTCAACATATGCAAATTGATCAATGTAACTCACCACATAAACAGAATTAAAAACAAAAATTATGCAACCATCTCAATAGATGAAGCAAAAACATTCAATAAAATCCAACATCCCTTCATAATAAAAACTGAACAAACTATGCATCAAAGGAACATAACTCAAAATAATAAGAGCCTTAGATGATAAACCCACAGCCAACATCATACTGAATGGGAAAAAGTTGAAAGCATTCTTTCTAAGAACTGGAACAAAACAAGGATGTCCACTCTCACCACTCCTATTCAATATAGTACTGGAAATTGTAGCCAGAGCAATCAGACAAGAAAAAGAAATAAAAGTCATTTAAATTGGAAAAGTGGATTTCAAATTGTCTGTCTTCACCGATGACGTGATCTTACACCTAGAAAACCTGAAAGATTTCTCCAAAAGACTCCTAGACTTGATAAATAACTTCAGTAAAGTTTCCAGATACAAAATTAACATATAAAAATTAGTTGCATCTTTATACACAAACAGCAGTCAACCTGAGAACCAATCAAGAACTCAGTCTTATTTGCAATAGCCACAACAAAGGTAAAATACCTAGGAATGCATTTAGCCAAGATGGTGAAAGACCTCTACAAGGACAACTATAAAACACTGATGAAAGAAACTGTAGATGACACAAACAAATGGAAAAACATCCCATGCTCATGGATAGGAAGAATAATATCATTAAAATGACTATACTGCCCAAGGCAATCTACAAATTCAATGCAGTTTCTATCAAATTACCAATGTCATATTTCACAGAATTAGAAAAAAAATTCTAAAATTCACATGGCACCAAAAAAGAGCACAAATAGCCAAAGCAATCCTAAGCAAAAGGAACAAAGTTGGAGGCATCACATTACCCAACTTCATGCTACATTACAAGGCTATAATAAGTACAACAGAATGGTAATGGTACAAAAGTAGGCATACGGATCAATAGAACAGAATAGATAACCCAAGAATAAAGCCACATAGCCAAAACCAACTGATCTTCAACAAAAGTTGACAAATTCAACAATAACGAAAGGACACCCTATGCAATATATTGTGCTGGGAAAATTGTGTAGCCGTATGCAGAAGAATGAAACTGGACCCCTCTCTCTAAATACAAAAATTAACCCAAGATGGATTAAAGACTTAAATGTGATGCTTGAACCTATAAAAGTCCTATAGGAAAACCTAGGAAAATATCTTTCAGACATTGACCTAGGCAAATAATTTATTATTAAGATCTCAAAAGGAAATGCAACACAAACAAAAATAGACAAGTGGGACTTAATTAAACTAAAGAGCTTCTGCACAGCAAAAGAAACAATCAACAGAGTAAACAGGCAGCCTACAGAATGGGAGAAAATATTTACAAATTATGCATTCAGCAAAGGAGTAATGTCCAGAGTCTATAAAGAACTCAAACCAATCAACAAGAAAATAACAACTCCATTAAAAAGTAAGTTGAGGACAGGAACAGACATTCCTCAAAAGACACAGAAGCAACCAACAAACATGAAATACTCAACGTTGCTAATCCTCAGAGAAGTGAAAATTAAAACCATAATGAGATACCATCCTACACCATTCAGAATGGCTACTATTAAAACATCAAGAAATAACAGATATTGGTGAGGATGTGGAGAAAAGGGAATGCTTGTGCACTGGTAGTGGGAATGTAAATTAGTATAACTCCTATGGAAAACAGTGTGGACATTTCTCAAAGAACTGAAAATAGACCTACTATTTGACTGAGCAATCCCACTACTGGGTATTTACACAAAGTGAAAGAAATGGTTATCCCAAAAAGACACCTGCACCTGTATGTTTATTTGCAGCAGTATGCACAATAGCAAGGTCATGTGGTATCAACATAAGTGTCAATCAATGGTTGAATAAAGAAAATGTGGTATGTATTTTCCATGGAATACTATACTAAGAAAGAATGAAATCATGTTCTCTGCAGCAACATGGATGGAACTGGAGGGCATTATCCTTAGTGAAATAACTCAAAAACAGAAAACCAATTATCACATGTTCTCACTTACAAGTGGAAGTTAAACCATGGGTACATGAACATAAAAATGGAAATAATAGACACTGGGGACTCAACAAAGGGGTAGGATGGGAAGGGAGTGAGAGTTTAAAAATGTATCTATTTAGGTACAAAGCTTACTATTTGGGTGATGGGTTCACTAGGAGCCCAAACTTCACCATTATGCAATATATTAATATAACAAACCTGCATATGTACCCCCTGAATCTAAAATAAAATAGATAAATAAAAGAATTGGAAATTGTTTTCTGTGATGCACTTTTGAACCATTTAGCAAATAAAAAGATCTGTAAATTGTTAGTCTATTACCACCATTATGCTTGAATAACTAACAAAGCTACTGGATTGTATATATTATCAATTTGGCCATGATAAATCCAATATGGATAATATTTTTGGATAGCTAGAAAGTGCCAGAACTGAGATTGACTGGTCTCTCTGCTTCTCAGACCGAGATATCATGTAGACATAATGATCTCAAATTGAAAAAAAATGATCTCAAACATTTGAGAAGACCTGGTGCGGGTTTTGGATTGAACAGGAAATTAAAGCTCTTTGGCCCTGGTGATGAAAGTCAGTCAGAAAGAGGGCATCCAGTTCCTCTTTCTTTTCACTGGGCTTGAGAAATTAAGTTCAGTTTGTATTTCAGGTAAATAACAACTAAATAAATGTTTGAATCTTAAGGCTGCCTGATTCTTAAATCAAATAAGATATGTAAGAAATTTACTTTTGTTATTCCAAGTGACAAAAATATGTTATTGAAAAAATAATGTGAAATGAAGTCCAAGTAGTGTATCGCGTATACAAACAGGACACTATGATGTTGAGTGCTACTCAACTCTTCCCTCCATACTCTTAATTTACATCTGTGGGCCACTGGAGGGCTTTCACTCAAACATGTGCTCCTTCTTGTGGCATGTCAGAAGTAACACGCCATCATGTAGACAAAACATAGAAGGTTTTTGTTAACTTTGTTTGTTTTTAGTTTTCATGACCCATTAATTCATAAAAAGAAGAATATCTGATTTTAGTTGAAAACAAATGTACAATTTAAAAGCATTTTTAGTAATTTATGCTATATGAAACCACTTCCATACAGTAGCAGTTTTGCTTTATGAACGTCAAAAAATTGACCAAAGCTTAATTTTTCTTAATGGTTTAGGCACCTAGTTTTTATATGGTGATAGTTACACAAAATGTGTTCATGATATAAAAATGAATGAAATAAACACAATCCAATTTAATAAGTTATTGTTTCTAATTTTAAACCATGTATCTAAAATGATATATGCACATTAGCTGCTTTATAACTATTTATCAGCATCCTGTCAATCATGAAGTCATTTATAATGCATTTTAGAAACATGCCTTGCATTATATTATTAGAAAATTTGGCACAGAAACTGCAATCTGAGAAACTATTTTGTTGTCTTAAAAGCCTATGCATTGCTGGAATTTTATTTTCCTATTTGTTTCAGCAGAGCAGGGACTTTCTTTCAATCCCCTCTCTCTGCAGAGCTATCTCTTTACCACCTGCAGATGTTTGTAAAAAAGGTTTTGTGAAAAGTAAAGTAAGTAGGAAGCACAAGCATAAAAGAAGGAAAAATAAGCAAAAATTATACTTTCATTTTTACATAATTATAGTGAACAGCACTTTCTATATATCTGTTGTATGTATAGTCCCGAACAAAGAGATGATCCATGCCTTAAAGAACTTGTGATTCATTTACAAACCCATCCATTCATTCATCAAATATTTATTTAATGCCTACTAAGTGCCAGTAAGTATTCAGAGGGCTGGACTAAATGGCAAGCGATACAGTTCCTGCATTGTGAAGCATATGTTCTAATTGGCAGTAGAGGGGTAATGCCAACTAAATGAAAAGAGACACCCGTATAGGAAAGATATTAATTTGTTGTGTTACTCTGGTTTTTATAAGATAAGCAAATGGTCAAAATAAAGGAAAACACTTAATTTTATGTGTATAATAATAACGAGTTAGAGTAGAAATGAGGATTGCTTTCTTATGTCTTCAATTTGTAAGAAATCTGAAAGCAGAATTTTATGCTAAGATTATCTTGATTGGAAGGATAAGGTCATCAGAGCTCCAAATGGGTTCTCCCATTAAGAGTATTGCAGTTTATGATAACGAACTCTGCAGCCAGGGTGCTTGGGTTTGGGTTCTTTCTATTACTAGAACTGTGGCTTTAGGCAAGTCACTTAGCCTCTCCATGCCTCAGCTTCCTTTTCAGTAAAATGGAGATAAAACATAGTACCTACCTCTTGGTGGTGGTGTTTGGATTAAATGAGTTAATGCATGAAAACTGCTTAGAACATAGCCTGGCACATAGCGAGCAAAATCAGTATTTGCTATTGTCATTAGCACTCAAGCCTGAGCAATAAAGAACCTTCATAGAGCTTGTCCCATGATTGTAGCTTGGCATCCATGGCCTATGAAGAGATTGAGATGCTATTATAATTGCCTGTGGGAAGGAAGAAAGAAGGTACTGGGTTTGTTCTTTTCTCTCCGGAATTTGTGATGTAGCTTCAGCATTTTGTTTTGTTTGTTTGGATAATTTAGTTTGCAAAAAAATAAGAATTAGGCAAATTAATGGAGCTGCTATCAGGGGTAGAAGGGATGCCCACAGAGCAGAATCCCAGTGTCAACACACATTACTCGATGTATAACCCACCACATTTCCCTGGATGTGCCTTGTCACAATAATGAGTCTCTAGAATTTTCAGATTTCATCTAAATGTTTGTGGTTCAGTTTTCTCTTTCAGAAAGTAGAGATCATAATTTTTCTCCACCACGTTTGAATGTTATGATAACTTTATTTCTGTAAACCTTCTTGCTAGAATCTTAGAAGTAGAGAACTTGAACTGAAGAGATCACCTCTTTAAAACACTGTTTTCATAACTGAAGGAATTAAAGGCTAGATAGAGTGTTACTCATCCGTGCTAACATGACTAGATGTGAGCAGATAGCTCTAAAACAGGATCTGTTGATATTTTTTAAACATTATACAGAAGTCACAGTGCTTTCTTTGAAATGTCCTGTATTAATCACTTTTACCCATAAATCTCAGTGGTTTAATCAAGCTATATAATGGCTGCTGGTTTGGTCATGGCTCGACTGGGCTCTGTCTAAGGTAGACAGGCCTAGGGTAATCTCCATGTACCTTTCATTCTGGAACTCAGGCTAAAGGAGCTGCTGCTATGTGAGTCATGGGTTTCTCATGGCGGAGAGCAGAAGACTAAGAAGAAGCAAACCAAATTATTTAAAGCTTCTGTGAAGACAGCTGTTTGTCATGGTTGCCCCTACTCAATTCACCAAAGCAAGTCATTTGGCCACATCCTGAGTAAGTGGGATGGAGAAGAATGTTGCATCTAATTGAGAGTCATGGCAAAGGCTAGGAGAGAATGAATAATTAACCCCATGTTTCACATAAATAGTCCCAGACATAAATTTGTACACATATTAATGGTATAAAAATAGCCTCAAATAACTGTTCCCCCCCAACCAAAAGGCAACATCACTGTATTGAAAAGTTGTCTACTATAAAATATATGTATAATATAAGCACTCAGCATTCTAATCATAATGATTTTGCTGCTTGTTGGGAGAAAGTATTGATACTTTCCTCTTTATCTTTTTTCTTTATCTCAAAATCACTCCAGATTGGAACAGAAGCTCTGGGCATCCACTGCGTGAGCCTCAGTTTCATCATCTATAAAATAGTTGTAGCATCAGTCCTGTCTACGTTATTGGTTGATGAGAATAATATCTACAGAGTGCTTCCCTTGTGCTAGACACTGTCCTGAACATTTCTACATGTTTTAGCATATTTATTTGAAGTAGGTACTATTATTACCACCAATTTACAGTGGAAGTAACTGCGTCATGGAGTAGCTGTCCAAGGTCACACAGCTAGAAAGTAAAGAATCTGAGGTTTATAGCCAGGCTATCTGACTCAGAACTTATGTGGACATCCACCCCATTGTACAATAAAAAAGAATATGTGAAAATTCTTTGCAAACTCTAGTACAGAAATATAAGATTGAGATCTCATTCATCATTCCTTTTAAAAATAAACATTGTAGCATTTAAATATTTAAACACATTACTAAAAATTGTAGTTGCAGTGTTTTGCCCTCACCGCTGTCTCTATCCTTGTCTTATATCTTAGTCCCTGAAAGGAAAAGTAACCACCCAAAGAGAGCTCATGAAAGGGCCGGGCTTAGTGATGCTATTTGTGTGGGGTTTTGGAAACAAGTAATAGTAGTTACTATGCATGGAACGCTCACCCTGATTTAGGTGTATTTATTATAATCTTCACCATGATCCTGCAGGGAGTGTTCTTTTTGGCTTTACAGTGAGGAAACTGAGGCTTAGAGAAGATGAATTAATTGATTTGCATGTAAGTAGCAGATCTCATTTCCAATCCAGCTCTCTGTGAGACCATGCTCAGGCTCTTCCCCACCATGCTGCCTTTCAAGTACAAGGCTCAGGATGATGTCATTGTAATTGTCAGATGGTATTCCACCCACAAGGATGTGCTTATTGAAGCTTTCTTGAATTGTGATAGAAAAATGCTCCATGAGCTCTCTAAATTAAGATCTCCAAATGAAGATCTCTAAATTATCACCAAATCGGCACATCGAAACAAATTTGTTTCAAAAGTTCACAACAGAAGTGGATACTGATCATGTGATTCAAAGTCTAATTCAGAAGCTATTGGAGTTTTTTTTTTTTTTTTAATCTCCCCTTAGACTTTGTGTGAATGGCAGAGGGAAACAGGTATAGGATATTTCAACTGAGATTTCAGGAAAAAAAGAAACAAAACAAAAAACAAGAGGAATAAACATCAAAACTCATGGAACAGGCCATGTTCTGCTTGGGACTTACTTCTGTAGATTCATTATTAGTGCATCCATTTGTTTATCTACATATCCATCAAACATGTGCTGAGAACTCTTATTGAGCCAATAGGTTGCAGAGCACAGACATCAAACTATTTGGATTTCAGTCTCAGCTCCATCACTTAATAGTTGAGTGGTCTTGAACAGACTGTTTAAGCCATCTCAGCTTCACTTTCCCATATCAGGACTGATGTGAGAATTCACTGAGATAATGTGTGTGAAGGTCTTGGCACCATGTTTGACATACAATAAGAGCTCAATAAGTGTTAGTCATGATGATGATGATAATGATAATGCTGATTTGAAAATTTCGTGCTAAGTACTAGGATAATAAAGAAGACATGGTCTCTACAATCAAAGGGCTCAAAGTCCAGTAGGAGAAGTACAGGGTAAATATATAAGCAATGATGTGGAATGAATTCAATAACAGAGGTAGATACACAGTGGATGCTAAGGACGAAGTGAGCTACTCTGCTCGCTTACACTGGGCGGTTTCATAAAGGAGGAGATGCCTGAGCTGGGCCTTGAAAAATGAATTACCCTGTAATATGTAAATAGAATGATATTCTACCTTAACAGTTTGTGAAAATGCACAGAGATAGAAAACACCATAGTACATTCAGGGAGCAATAAATAAGCATTTAAACCTTGAGGATAAGATGCAGTGGAGAATTCTGTTATGGGGTCTGAACTTTAGGCAGTAGGGAAACACTTGAAGAGCTTTAAAGGGGACAGTAACAAGGTCAGATTTGCATTTTAGAAAGATGATGTTGGTGACTGGAAGATGGACAGTGAGGCTGGAGACATGGAAAACAGACTATGAGCTACTGAAACACTCTAGGCAGAGAAACAGCAAGGTGGTGGCAGTGCAGAGGACAAATTGATAGCGTATAATGCCCAGCCAGAATTAAGAAGGCAGGAAGAGAGGAATCCAGCTTTCATGTCTGGGTTTCAGAATAGCAGTGCCATTCATTGAGAGAGAGGAGTCAAGATGGGGAGGACACTTGGGGAATAAGATAATGTGAATTGAAATTTTGGTTTGTATCTGTAAGACTGAGGAAAATAGAGTCATGGTATTAGATGGAGAAAAATACTGTAAGAAGGTAATGCGCAACCTAGTATTTCCCTTTAAGAGGTGTCAGTCATAGAATAGACTTTATCCAAAGCATTATCATCTTGTTAAACAGTAGCTCCAAGGTTACTTGCTTTTGGAGCTGTGAGCAGTGCCTTGTGATAGCTGCCTAAAAGTGCTTGCTGGTTGACAATAGAGGGAGATATGTAGGGATTAAGAGTGTGGGCTTCAGAATCTCACTACCTGGTTTTGAACCATAGCACTCATAGATATTTGCTCTGTATCCTGGGACAAATTACTTGATCTCTTCATAAACTAGTTTTCTCCACTGTAAACCCCATCAGGTTGTTATGAGGATTAGACAAAATATTACATAAAAAAGCACTTAGCACAGTGCTTGCTTAGGTCAGGTGCTCAATACAAATTCAACAGATTTTTTTTTTTTTTTGAGATAGAGTCTCACTCTATTGCCCAGGCTGGAGTGCAGTGGTGCAATCCTGGCTCACTGCAACCTTGTCCTCCCATGTTCAAGCAATTCTTGTGCCTCAGCCTCCCTAGTAGCTGGGATTAGAGGTGTGTGCCACCATGCCTGGCTAAATTTTGTATTTTTAGTAGAGATGGGTTTTCACCATATTGGCTAGGCTGGTCTCAAACTCCTAACCTCAAGTGATCCACCCGCTTCAGCCTCCCAAAGTGCTGCGATTACAGGCATGAACCACCCCACCAAGCCTCTATAGCTTTTATTATTACTCATAAAGAATGCTATGTTTTGCACTGAAAGATGGAGCTGTTGGCCCATCTTTCATTGGAATGTGTACTTTGAGCTGTTTTTCTAGGAATAGTGATGGATAGGACTGAGTAATTCACAGTTGTTCACCTGGTTCACTCCTGAATGAGTAAGGGTCATTAGGAAGATGATTAGCCAGCCTTCAAAGTGCAGGCTGTAACTAAGGGGTGGTTTGTCTTTATGTGAAGTGTTTACTTGTATGTTACCTGACCTACATTTGCACCAAACAATGACAAATAAAAGTAAACATAGTCTACCCTCTTTAATTGTATTAGTCAGGATTCTCTAGAGAAACAGAACTAGTAAAGTATATATATGTGGAAATTTATTATGGGAATTGGCTCACAAAATTGTGGAGGCTGAGAGGTCCCATGATCTGCCATCTACAAAGTAGAAACCCAGAAAGGCTGGCAATGGTATAATTATTCAGTCAGAGGCCTCTGAAGGCCTGAGAAGTGGGAGAGCTAATGGTATGAGTCTTAGAACTCAAAGGCTTGAGAACCAGGAGCTGTGATGTACAAGTGCAGGAAAAGATGGACATCCAGGAGAGAGAGTGAAGTTGCCCATCCTACCTTTTTTGTTCTATTCAGGGCCTCAGTGGATTGTAGGATGCTGGCCCACATTGATGAGGGAAGATCTTCTTTACTAATTCAAATGCTAATCTCTTCTGGAGACATCTTCACAGATACTCCCAGAAATAACACTTTACTAGCTATCAAGGCATTTCTTAGCTCAGTCAATTTGACACATAAAAGTAACCATCACAGTAACCTTTGTCTAATCCTTGTTTGAAATAAACAGCATGGGTCCTCATTAAATATGATGAAATTTCCAAGAAATAGAGCTATCTGCTTGTAGAAATGAGAATTAATAATTATCAAATTACCAATAGTTTTCTTGCATATGTAGAAACAAGGTGAAAAAATGAAATACAGTAATCTGCTATGAAAATAAATTAGCTAATACAAAAAATACTCCTTTGTATTTCCAAAGGAGATAAAAATTGATTTCAAGGTATTTTAATTACCGTTTGTTACCTTTCTGTATGACTTTCATGTTTACCCTGTTCAACATGTCTACTAATTGCTGAAATTGGGTGGGGAAAAAGAGAAGAGGAATTGAGTCCTGAGATTTTCCCTCATTATGGGGAAGGCTTTTTGAGAGTTTTAGGAGAGTTTTGAGAGAGAAGGGAAAGATTTCCCTCAGAAAGCTTTGGAACATATAACATCCTACTGAGAAAATAATAAGTTCTTACCTTTTTTTCTTTGATCAAGAAATAGGAAATTAGTGGTTAAATGTTTCTATTGTTTCTACTATCACTCATATGGCTAGACTTAGATTCCAGCTCTGAAAACAACTAACGGTGTACTTCAGACCTCTAGATTTTGTTTTTCTCATCAGTAAAAGAAAAAAAATTAAACCATCTTTAAAATTTCTGATAGTTCACATATCATATTCTCTTTTCTCCATTTCTTTTTCATTAATAGAATAAGAGAAGTTGTGAAGAATGTCTAGTCTACTACTGTATTGTCTTTGCTGAGGAATCTCTCATAATTCGAAGCTTCAAAGCTCCCATAAACAAAAATCCTGGAGAATCAGCCTATTTTATTGTTGGGCAGTTCAGTTCTTTAGTAATTCTTTCTTATGTTTAGTAAGTGTGCCGTGTCATTTGATTATCTTTTCATTTGTGCATGTATTTCCATATATCTCCAAAAGGTTTTAAGTCAGCATATAATGCTGAAACATAATATAAAATATAGCTAAACATAAAAAAGACAAAATCAATGAAAAAGAACAGAGATATAGATCATGCTGAGTCTCTAACAGAAGATAATTATCACAGTTTAGAAATCAGTTTAGCCAGGGGTTCTCTGGCAGGTAAGGCAAAAAGGGAAACACATTGTGCTTCTCACTGGCTTATGTATAAGAGGAGACACATTATAATTTTAAGCATTAAGTTCAAAGAGAAATGAGTTCATGAGTTCTTTATGGAAAGAATATCAAGTATCATACCAGACAGTGTCTTCAGCAAAATGTGCAGACATTGTCTTTAAGTTGTTAATTCTCATACTGCTTTTCTAAAAAAGCTGGAAGCATTATGTGTATGTTTTTATTTTAAAGGCAGTATAACTTTATTACAGTTGGTTTGGAAAGCAGAGGGAGTAAAACATCCACAAATCTGCCAATCTAACACAATTATTTTCATGTTGGCAAATTTAATCATCTTTGCCCATATACAATTATGGTTTCCACAAGGAACCTCAGCTGGATTCCTTTAGTAGTACAGGGCTCTAGGACACGTGAGCTGCCAGATGTATCCTCATGTTTCCGTATGATATTCTCTTAATTTTGTATCCTACCATTTCACTTAATACATTTTACATATTTTTCTTGCTGCTAGATAATTTTTACAATTACATAATTTTTAAAAACGACTCTGAATTTTCAGATTTGCTACAATTTAACAGTCATTTAATCCTAGAAAAATGCTCTAGTGAACATTCTTTGCAAATTGCTTTTCCTCTTCTGGGTGGTGAACTGTGTTGTTGTAGTTTCCCATACAAATACCTTTATTGAATTCCCTGTTGGTAACTGGTCCGTCTTAATGGACATTATAAGAGTCAGTTCTTTGCAATATATTAGTGTATTTACTATTAAGAATGTTAATGATGATATTGCTCATTGTATTTTCTGTGTTTTCCTTATGAGGACATAATGTGAGAAATTTCTCTCTCATTTTAATATCAGAAATATAGTCATGCATGACTTAACAACCAGGATATGTTCTGAGAAATGTGCCATTAGGTGAGTCCATTGTGTGGACATTACCAAGTGTACTCACACAAACCTAG